>NT_187367.1:0-176043 GCF_000001405.40 Homo sapiens | reverse complement strand
GAATTCACTAGAAGAAAGAAGAGGAAGCAGCAAGTGCAAGGCCCTCCTGCAGCAGGAGGGAGCATAGCACATTCAAGGAAAAGAAGCCAGCAGTGTGGATTACAGAGGAAGAGTGCAGCACGAGGGCAGTGGCTTGAGATGAGGCCAGAGAGGAGGGCACGCAGGACCAAGGGGACCAAGGCAAGGATTTTGGTGTCCATCAAATTGGAGAGTGCTGAGCAGGGGAGGGGTAACCGTGTAATTGCCTTTCTCAAATGCCCGTTTTACCGTAGCAAGGATAGACTGGTAGAAGCAAGGGATGAACTGGAGAGATGAGTGAGGAAGCTGCTCCAGAAGACCCATCAGGAGATGATGGTGACAGGGAATTGAGTGGTAGGAATGACAATGGGAAGAGATGAGCGGAATCCAGGTATTTGTGGGTAGAAGTGGCAGGTGTGGCTACTTATTGGAGATGGGGCTGTAGAGCTGTGAAGGTGTGAGTCCTTTACTTATCCATCTTAAGGGTCACGGCCAACACTCCTATAACAAAAGACACATTAACAAGAGAAAAACAGAGCAAATTTATTTAATCCAAGTTTTATGTGACATGGGAGGCTTCAGAAATGACAACCCAAAGGCCCAGGGAAAACTGTTAATTTTTATGCTTAGATTAGATGAAGAATGGACAGCCAGATAGAAATGTGATTGGACAAACGGGTATGACCTACTGGGAACAGACTGAAAGGGGACCCAGCAAAACAGTCTGCTCAGATTCTTCTCAGCCTCTCTGTGTAGCCTCCATTCCTCCTGGGTATGGGGCGGGACCCTTTCTGAAATGAGAGTTTTCAAAGGAGAAGGAGAAGATAGAGAGTGACCTTTCTAGGTTTTATGGTTTGCTTTAGCAGGAGGGTTTCTAGGTTCTATGACCCATCTTGAGGAAGATAAATTCTGGTTTCTGTGACTCACTTTGGAGGATGAAGGCAAGCAGAAGAGAGGGTCTGAGGAGGTTGGAAAGACCTTGCTTCTGAGTTCCTTCCAATGTCCTTCAGTTCAAAATACTCAGGCTGAGGCACCACGCTTTGGGGTGTCATGTTCTAAGCCCCGACAGCATAAGGGCAGCATTGAGACAGCCTTTGCAGCCTGGCCTGCATAATGGACAGACGCTAGTGCAATCCATAGGGTTGGAAATGTGGAGGGATAACTGAATGGCGATGCCGGGAGCCTTGAGTTCAGTGTTGGACACATTGAGTGTAAAGTGCCTTTGAGACACCCAAGTAGGCTGTTGGAAATAACCAGCCTGGAGCTGAGAGGTCAGGTTGAAAAGCAGTGTCTGGACGGCAGGTGGGCCCTTGGCCATGAATTAGACCACCAAGGAGAGCAAAGTGAGAAGTCAAGAGGACCTAGTAGGGCCCCTGAAAACTCCAAATGGCCAAGAAGAGGCAAAGAGCTACAAACAATCCTGAGAGGGGGCCGAGGGCAGAGCCACCTGGAGGGAATGTTCATCAAAGTCACACCCTGCCCCTGCATCCGCCCCTCACTCTGCACATGGGAGCTCAAGAAGCCAAGGGGCTTGCTCTGTACCCGGGTCACCCAGCTTCATCCTGGGCAAAATGAGATCACAGTCCCCGACTCTCATTTGCCCTCTTTTCTGCTTTTGTTTTTTTTTTTTTTTTCTTTTATGCTCTTTTTCATTTTTTTCTGGGTACACATTAGGTGCATATATATGTGAGGTACATGAGATGTTTTGATACAGACATGCACTGTGAAATAAGCACATCATGGAGAATGAGGTGTCCATCCCTGAAGCATTTATCCTTTCTTTCTTTCTTTCTTTTTTTTTTTGAGATGGAGTCCAGCTCTGTTACCCAGGCTGGAGTGCAATGGCGTGATCTCTGCTCACTGCAAGCTCCGCCCCCCAGGTTCATGCCATTCTCCTGCCTCAGCCTCTTGAGCAGCTGGGACTACAGGTGCCCGCCACCATGCCAGGCTAATTTTTTTTGTATTTTTAGTAGAGATGGGGTTTCACAGTGTTCACGGGGATGCTCTCGATCTCCTGACCTCATGATCCGCCCACTTCGGCCTCCCAAAGTGCTGGGATTACAGGCCTGAGCCACTGCACCCGGCACATTTATCCTTTCTAATACCAACAATCTAATTACAGTCTTTTAGTTATTTGTAAATGTGCAATTATTAATGACTACAGTCATCCTGCTGTGTGATCAAACAGTATATCTTATTCATTCTTTCTAACATCATCCCCACCTGCCCTCAGCCCCCCACTCCTCTTCCCAGCCTCTGGTAACCACCTTTCTGCTCTCTAGCTCCATGAGTTGAACTGTTTTGATTTTTAGATCCCACAAATCAGTGAGAACACGCAATGTGTGTCTTTCTGTGCCTGGCTTGTTTCACTTAACATAATGACCTCCCATTCCATCCATACCATTTTCTGCTTTTGTACAAGGCATCAAGGCATAAAAAGCAGGGCAATGGGACTCAATGGATTTTCCACGCTGCTCTAACACACTACTGCAAACCTGGCAGCTTCAAACAACACAGATGTATTCTCTCATAGTTCTGGAGGTCACAAATCCAAAACGAGTCTTCCTGGACTAAAACTGAGGTGTTGCCAGGACCCTTGGTAAAAGCCCTAGAGGAGAATCCATTCCTTGCCTCTTTGGTGGCTGCTGGCATTGTGAATTGTGGGCACATCACTCCAATCTCTGCCTCCACGGTCGCATCACCTTCTCTTCTGTAGTCGAATCTCCTCTGCCTCCCTCTTCATCTATAAGGACACTTTGTGATTACATTGCGTATCCACACAGATAACCCACGATAGTCTCCCCGTCGCAAATCTTTGAAGTAATCTCATCCACAGAGTCTCTTCTGCCAACATCCCATTCACTAGTTCTGGAGGTTAGGACGTGGACATCTTTGGGGGTTATCATTCCCCCTTTCACAGGCTATCTGGGCTGTATACAGAACCAGAGATCTGAGAATCATCTTGGCGGCCTCACTCTGTGAGCAGAGAAACGTGTCTGTGCTCAGCAGCAATCCCTGGAGGCAGAGACTGGAAATTACACCTGCAACCGTAGTAAGAGCTTGCCAGGGGCCGGAATGGGTGCCATAACTAGAGCTGTACAGGCATCCACCTCAATTCTCTCAGCGGCCCTTTGAGGTCGCTCTCTTACTGCCACCAAGGTGCAGGGTGGTGAAGTTAACTCAGAGCAGAGACCTGGCCTCGAAGCCTCGTCTCCCTGGGGAACAACCAATCAGCAGGAACCTGAACACAAGCACGAGAGGCAATCCGAGCCCTTCCCCAAAGCCTCACTCTTCATTCACTCTGGCTGGAATCCTGCCCTCCCTTCAGGGCCAAGCTTAGGGAACAAGGAGCAACCAGATCCTACCTCCAAGGACAGAGCCCTTACATATTTCTGCAATCTGTCTGCAGCTGATGGTCTGAATGAGCATCGTGTCATCACAGCACTTGTAAATTTTGGAGGGGCTCCTCCACACTGAGGGAATATGCTTGTTCAGGGAAGGGCACACTCCCCCATTTCTCCCGGAACCACACTTCTGCCGTGGGACCCTGAGAACACAAGGGCCCTCCCCTTGCCCTGTTGCTTCATGTGGCTTAGTCTTGCTTAACAAACATGCTAGGTGTGGAGGCTGAGGCCTACATGTAGTGTTGAGGGCAAGCAGGGACCGCCTGGAAATGCTGAAAGCATTCTCTTAAAGTGAGGCCTTCCCATCATGATTGCTAGGCCCATGATGAGAAGATATTGCAGGAAAGCACGACCTGGACCATAGAAAGGGCAGATCAATGTGTGGGCCTTTATGTGCTTATCCCTCCCACCACCCTGCTGCAGACCCCACCCACACTCAAGCTTAGCCCCTGTGGCTTGGAACCCAAGGACGCTTCTGAGCTGAGGCAGACTTCAGGGAGTACTAGTTAGGATAGGTCAGCTGCAAGTAACAAACAAACAAACAAAATACGCAGCAAACTCTGGCCCTCAGGGCCAAATTCAGCCCACCATCTATTTTTATAAGTAAAGTTTTATTGGAACATAGGTGTACCCATTCATTTACACATTGTCTATGGTTGTTTTTAGGGTTGTAGTGCCAACAGAGATCTCATGGCCCACACAGAGCCTAAAATGTTTTCCATGTGGCCCTTTATGGAAAAAGTTCGCCCACCCCTGGCTTGAACAATGACAACATTGAATTATCTGCCATCACAAGAACTCCAGAGGAAGGTGGCTCCAGGGTCACACGAAGGCTCAGCAAAGTCCTCGAGGCCCCAGGCTCCTGTTCCCTCCTTGGCAGGTTGGCCTTTCTTCTTGGGCTGGTTTCTTCATGGTCACAAGCCGGCTGCCACAGTTCCAGGCTTGACTGCCTCTCAGAAGCACATTCAGGCCAGGAGGAAGGGCAGGCTTCCTCCTCACCTCTTCTTATTTAGGGATCAAAAATCCCTCCAGGGCGGTGCAGCAGAGGTCCCTTACCTCTCAGTGTTTAGACCAGAGGTCAGTAAGCATTTCCTATAAAGGACCAGATAGTGAGTATTTTAGGCTTGTCAGGTCACATATGATCTCTGCAGCATATTCTGTGTGTGTGTGTGTGTGTGTGTGTGTGTGTGTGTGTGTGTGAGAGAGAGAGAGAGAGATGACCCTTTAAAAATGTACACTCCATTCTTCTCATGAGCCATAGTTTGTCAACGCCTGGTCTGGCACTCTTCACATGCCCTCTCCGTGCCCATCTCCAGCAAAGGATAGCGGGCTTACCCTTGCTATCAAAGGTGCTTGGCTTAGACCAATCACCCAAAACTGATGTTTCAGAGATGCCTGCTGGAGGAGTATAGGCAGATATTACTGATGTCAGAAAAACAGTTTGAGCGCCACTTCCTTCTCTGGCAGGAAGGAGTGATTGGCTGCTGGTCCTGCCCTGTCCGAGGAGGAGGACGGAACCCACCCACCAAGCTGTGGAGAGGTGGACCCCACAAATCCCCTCGCAAGCCACGTCTGAGAGTGAGCAGAGGGAAGAAACTCAAGCGTTTGTAGTCCTCTTTCTTAACAACCAGGCTTAAAGCGTCATCTTGTGTCTTGAAGGCAGAAGGAGATCAGGATGTGTGTGCTAGAAGCAGGCAGAGGATCTTCACCAATGTCTCAAAAACTAGAGAAGGAAACATGGCGATCCTCAAGGCCCGCGGCAGCCCCAGCCCTTCCCGCACCCTGCGATAGTCTGGTGTTGGGAGGGTGGCCCACGTGTCCAAGCAACCACATCAGGGAGGTTCCGGGAGAGGAGAAGGCAAAGCTCATGCCCTCATGAGGCAGGCAGTCCCATCCAGGACTGGACTGGATGAGCACCAATAAATAAGAAAACACAGCTGGCAGCTGACTGTGAAGGGTCTGGACAGGGTGCCGAAGTGAAGCGTAATGAGCTGGATAGTGAGGACTTCACTACAGAGGGACATCTATCTACACACAGCCTGAAGGGTGAGAAAGATGGATCCTTGCCCTGAGCCAGAAGTGCACACCCCAGAGAGAGCAGCTCCTGCGGAGGTCCTGTGGGGCAGGCATGGTAGGAATATTAAAGAGAAGAAGCCAGGTGTGGCTGCAGCCATGCAGGAGGAAGGGCGATGGGGTTGGGGAGGCAGAGGATGGGACTGGCATGAGAAGATGGAGATGCAGAGCCCAGATCGTGATAGCCCCAATAGTCCACGGGTAGGAGTTTGTATTTTCTACTAAAAGCAATGGGAGGGCGGGGCGCGGTAGCTCATGCCTATAATTCCAGCACTTTGGGAGGCCGAGGCGGGTGGATCACCTGAGGTCAGGAGTTCGAGAACAGCCTGACCAACATGGTGAAACCCCATCTTTACTAAAAGTACAAAAATTAGACAAGTGTTATGGCGCGCGCCTGTAATCCCAGCTACTCAGGAGGCTGAGGCAGGAGAATCGCTTGAACCCAGGAGGCGGAGGTTGCAGTGAGCTGAGATCATGCCATTGCACTCCAGCCTGGGTGACAAGAGCGAAACTCGGCCTCAAAAAAAGGGAGGGGGGGCAATGGGAAACCATTGAATCGTTTTTAGCAGGTGGCCTGATTTGATTTACATTTTTTAGACATGTAGCTTCACTATCATGGTTATGGTGGTCCGTGCATTACTAACATTGCTAAAACCACCATCATGCCAGAATTACCCTCCCATTTGTGGGTTAAAACACTGCACCCATCTGTCCCTCCCCAGAGTCCTCTTAGTGGCTGCTCTTAGGAGGAACTAACATGGACTACATTCCCCCATCACACCCAGCACAAGTGCCCTCCCAGCCTCCCCCACCCAACTCAGTCCCATTCACACGCGGCATGCCAGGGACTCTCCCATCAGGGGAACACCCTGTAACTCCCAAGTTCCTCCAAAGCCTCTTGAGAGGGACCATGGTGCCCTGCAGGGAGTGGGTCCTGGTGGGTCCAGTGGAGGGAACGTCCTTGCTGAAACTGGCTGGGTCTTAGCCGGGAAGTGGTGACAGGTATCTCTCACATACGCTACGGGAACCCAGCGCAGCCAATGGAGTCCAATCAGCACACCTTGCGCCCACCCCTTCGTTTGGTAACTTGAGGCCACTGCCCACCCGCCAGGTACCCTCTCTCAAGCGTGCCCTGAAGTTCAGGGAAAGACGCCAGCACCCCCTGCTGGTTGCGCTCTCCCATAGCAGGGCTCACATTTTGGGAGAAAGAAATCAGCTGTTAGCAGCTTTCGTTCTTCACCATGTTAAGCAAAGCACAACATTTTATAACTGGGTGAAAAGCCAGATATTCTGTCAGCTGATTTGATTGTTCTGTACGCATATCCCTAAGCCATTGTTTGACGGATATTTTTACTGAGTTGACTTTCTTCATAAGATGATAGGACTAATGAAGAGAAAAGGCAATGGAGTTTTTAAAACCAGCGTGATGAACCAAATGCTGCCACTGACTAGCTATGTACATGTAATCCAAAGGTTCCCTCCGTTGAAACAAAATAACAGTGCTTACCTAACCAGGTCAGCTGTGAGCTGGGACTTCACAGACAGGCATAGAGAGACATGGATGCAGGAAGGGCTTCCTTAGCTGAGAGGGTCGTGAAACTGGAAGGTAGTAGCAAGCATTTTCCAGTTGGATCTTTTGGCCGACATTTGTAGTGGGGAGACAAACATGTCTAATTTTCCCCCCACCCCGGCACATGGGCAGGTAGGAAGATGCTGGTGGGTTTGGTTCGACAGTTTGGAGAATGTCTTGTGGAAGGGGTGCTTTTTTTAATGCACACTCAGGCACCATGGGAGCCTGTTGTCACCCTGGATATCTAGCTCCATGCCCTTGCCCTTTCACTCTGCCTCGACAAGAGTCATGGCACCCAAAATACATGAGTTCAAATCTGAGTTTCACAGGCTCAGGGAGGAACCCAAGCTACCAAATGCACAGGCCCCTCCTGTATACGGTTACAGCAGGTAAGGGAGTAACTTACTCAGTGCAAGCTGCTGTAACAAAATAGCACAAGCTGGGTGGCTAATCAACAACAGGCATTTATTTCTCACAGGTCTGGAGGCTGGAAGCCCAAGATCAGGGTGCCAGTGCTGGCATGGTTGGGTTCTGGTGAGGGCCCTCTTCCAGGTCACAGACAGCTGTCTTCTCATTGCATCCTCACATGACAGAAAAGAAGTGCACAAGCTCTCTGGCCCCCTCTTACAGGCGCTAATCCCATTCACAACGGTCCTACCATCATGACCTCATTACCTCCCAAAGACGACACCTCCAAATACCACCACATTGCCATTAAGCTTCAACATATGAATTTAAGGGGGAAACAAACATCCAGTCCATTGCAGATTGTTCTGATAATATGTGTGCCCAGGGCATTGCCCCCACAGCAAAGAGCGACATTGGAAGGCAAACCAATGTCAGGTTTCCTAATGTGCACGGAGTCATCCCTGGAAGAGTGAGTCCGGTGATCTTACCAGCTAATTGCATTGAGCTACCCCACCTTGGGGATCTACCTGCCAAGGAGAACAGAACACCACTGGCTTTGATACCCATCTCTCAACAATGATGGAAGAATGCTGGAAATTTACCTGCTCTGGTAGCTCTCTCTAAGTTCATCTTCCTTGTATGGACTTTCTTTTTTTATTGCTCTCAAATACTTGTATTATTAAATATCTCATTTAAAATTTCTTTAAAATACATTAAAAGTACATTTAAAGAGTACATTTTAAGAGTGCAGATGAAAACATAATGAATACATCTTTGCTTAAGAAAAAATATTTCGGACACAGCATGAACTCAGTTGCTGGTTCCAAGCCCCTCCCCTTCTCACTACACTGAACTTGGCATGCATTCTTTCTTCAGGTGTGTTTGTAATCTTACTACATATGGACATATCCCCCAGCAATATCAGGGATTGTTTTGCTTGTTCCTAGACATCATATAAATGGTATCATACCAATTATACCCCTACACTACTTAATGTTTCATTCAACATTGTTTTGGGGGACTATCCATGTTGATACATGAATTCTGTTGTGTTCATTTTTTCCTCTTGTGAAATAGTCCATTATGGAAATTGTCCCTAGTGTGTCTATCTGCACTCCTAATTGACAGGCATTTAGGCTGTTTTCCATTTTCCTAATTACAATTATGCTGAGTGAACATTCCTGAACACAGGTGTGAGGTTGTCTCTGGAGCACATGCCAGGGAACAGAATTCTTAGGTCGTAAGGAATGTGTACCTCCAGCCTTAGTCAATATTGCCAATTGCTGTCCTATCTGATTTTATTCATTTACGCTCCCACTAGCAGTATATATGAGTCTTTCTTTCACTTCTTGCCAACTCTTGCCAATCTAATGAATGGGAAGTGGTAACTCATTATTATTTCAATTTGTATTCCCTGAGACCTTAACACTTGTGTATTGCACATTCTGGTTCCTCTTTGGCAAATTGCCTTGGCATTAAGATAGTAAATTTTCCTTGCCACCTACGCTGGTTGAGTCAGGATGCTTAATTACTTGGAGGTAAAAAGCACCTGGCTGAAATAGCCATCCCTGAGGCTGCCTGTTGAGGATAGGAGATGCTTCATCCATCTTTAGATCCTTTCTTGGAAACGCTGAGCCTGGCCAGCCATGCAGGCTTTTCCAAGCTCTGATGCTGCCCTGTGTCCACAATAGCATCCCCACAGCCTGGATCCATCATTCCCAGCATTATGATAGCTCCTTTGTCTCCTTGGAAGAGCCCAAAACCCACAGCTGAGGCCTCAGGGCTTTTCTAATGTGCTTAGAACAGGGGTAAAGGTAATGCCAACCAAAATGGGGAAACCTGTATTCCTGCTCAGTCACTGCTTAGTCAGCATAAATCACTCCAGAGGATAGTTTGTTACTGACCTCAAAGACTCAGTTACAAAGATGATCACCATAGCATTGTTTACAGTAGCACCAAAAAAAGGAACCACCTAAATATCTCTAAATGTCCAACATCACCGTTTGAAAAAATAAGGAATGGTACATCCTTCCATGGAATGTACCTTAAATCCACCCAAAATCATACTGCATATGGATATGCAATGTCAAGGAAACTTACTCGGGAGTCCTAGCTTGGGGTCCATGGACGTCCAAGGAGATGCTTATCAAAGGGAGTTGGCACCCCCTGAGATGCTCATGAAAGTGCAGACTTCCGGGCCCCCCTCCAGACTGAATCTGCACTTCCAGCTTGGAGGGCAGGAATCCTAACAAGTTCCCCAGATGAGTCTCAGGCACACTAAAGCCAGAGCATCGATGCCTGGGACCCAAAATAGGGAAGAAGCACTCTGGTGTATCAAGAGGAAAAAAGCAAGTTACATACAAACGCAGTATACATAAAAACACCGCCTTCATGTGGGTGTGGGTGTGGGTGTGGGTGTCGATGTATGCGTACTTTTGAAAAAAAAAAATATCGGCTGGGTGTGGTGGCCCACGTCTGTAATCCCAGCACTTTGGGAGGCCAAGGTGGGTGGATCACCTGAGGTCAGGGGTTCAAGGCCAGCCTGGCCAATATGATGAAACCCTGTCTGTACTAAAAATACAAAAATTAGCTGGGCGTGGTGGCAGGCATCTGTAATCCCAGTTACTCCAGAGGCTGAGGCAGGAGAATCGCTTGACCCCAGGAGGCGGCAGTTGCAGTGAGCCAAGATCATGCCATTGCACTCCAGCCTGGGTGACAAGAGTGAAAGTCTGTCTCAAAAAAATAAAAAAAACAAAATATATATATATATATATAATTTTTTTAATTTTTATTTTTTAGAGACAGGGTCTTGCTGTGCCACCCAAGCTAGAATGCAGTGGCACAATCTTGTCTCACTACCCAATCTCAAACTCCTGGGCTCAAGTGATCCTCTCCACTCAGCCTCATGAGTAGCTGGGACTACAGGCATACTCCACCGCACCTGGGTTTTTTGTTTTGTGTTTTGTACAGACAGGGTCTCACTATGTTTGTGTTCCCTGGCTGGTCTTAAACTCTTGGCCTCAAGCGATCCTTCTGTGGCCTCCCAAAGTGTTGGGATTACAGGCGTGAGCCACCATGTCCAGCCTGTGTGTGTGTACTAATAGCTACCTAGATAACAATACTTAACAGCAATTACCTCTAGATTACCTCAGCACCATTGACAATCAGCCCGAAGACTTTGTGGTGGGGCTGTCCTGTGTGTTGTAGGGTGTTAGCAGTATCCCTGGGTGCAGTAGTGTAACAATCAAAAATGTGTTTGGTAGCACAAAAGTACAACTATAGTTAACAACAATTTATTGTATATTTTAGAGTAACTAACATAGTGAAATTAGAATGTTCCTAACACACAAAAAAGATACATACCTGAGGGTATGAATATCTGTCACCCTGATTTGATTATTATTTATTATATGTTTATATCAAAATATCACATGTACCCTGTAAGTATGTATAAATATTATGTATAATTTAGATTTATTTTAATTTTAATAAAAAATAAATATTAAAAAATGTCTTCAGATATTGCTAAATGTCCCCTCAAGGAACAAGGTCCCCAGTTGGAGAACCGATTCTCTAGATGGGACATGTATAGATGATGCTTTCCTTTGTTTTTTAGTATATATGCCTATTTTTTAGTTTTTTCTAAAATAAGTGTACTTTAGTCATGTTAAAAAAAAACTTTGTATTTATTACTGTCCCATTGCCTGCACTGTCTGAAAAAAAATACACTCAAATGAAAAGATACATTAATACTTACATTAAGAAAATTAATTTTATTATTATTTTAAAATAGCTGTGGAAAAGCTATACAAAGGCCTCCCAAATGTCAATATTCCTTAGGCACCTTTGAAATATTTCTAAACTTAATCTTTGGACTAGGCATCCTAATTGTAATTCCATATCTTAAAGAAGCAATTCTAAATATAGGAAATGCTTCACAAATATGGTTGATTTTTGCAGAGTTACCTATAAAAGCAAAAAGTTATAAACACTGTAAAACCAACCATAGGAAACTATGTTAATTAAGGTACATTCACTTGATAGACTATCATACAGCATTAAAATGATATTTATAAAGAACTTATAACAATATGGGGGCAAGGTTTATGCCATATTGTTAAGTAGGAAAATAACTGAATACAAAATCAAATATGTTACATCACCATTCAAAGGTATAATAATGACAATAAAAAGAATCTCATCAACATGGTCGGAAGAAATACACCAAGATATTAAAAGTAATTGTTAATTGAACAATGGCATCGTAGGTGACTTTTTCTCTCTACTTTTCTGAAATATCCAAATTTTTTACAATAAACATGTGTGTATTTACAGTGAAAGAGAGAACAGTGAAATTTCTTTTTAAAAATACTTGAAAATGATCACAAAAATGTGCCAACATTTCAGGTAAGAAATGTGTTTTATATGGGTCTGTATACAAATTTCTATCCAGCTGATAAAAATAACTTCAAGAAATTAAACCTATTCAGAAACAATAGTGATTGTGTCTAAATTCATAGGCTTTGAGAAGGATAAATTTTTAAAGTATAAATTACTATGCAGGTGGTCAGGAAAAGGTTGTATGGAGTCACATGATAAATGACACAAAGAAAATGCTTTTTATGAAAAACAAACTGGATAGATTTTTTCCCAAGCCAGAATCACATTCTTCTAAATCATTTAGAAGGCAATAAAATAATTTGGGCTTGATTAGCATTTAACTAACCAAGGACAGATTCCAGCCACCTTATGGATTTTGATCTAACTTGTTTACATTCATCAGGGGTGATGGGCAGTTCCAGCCCACAGGAAGCACAATCTTTGCAGACAAAAGGTGGCCCTTCTCATGTTTGTCAGGCAATATTTGTCCAACCTGGCCATTCCCAGTTGGCTCCAATGAACTCTTGTTAGCTCACTCTTGTTAGTCACTTGTTAGTCTCTTGTGGACCCAGACTATATCTTACAATAGACCTCAAAGAGGGAGGCAGCTGCGTGCATTGCATAGAAAATAGAAAAAGCCATGGCCAGGTTGACCACAATTATCCAGGGTTCAAAGCCAAAGACAATCTCCTCCAATCCATTGTCATACTCAGGTCGACAGCCAAAAGCGGGAGGTATCCAAAGCTGCAAGAGAAGAGAAAATGGCCTGTGGTGGGGAGCAGCTTCCAAGCCACCACGGAGGCCCCACTCAAGTCCCAGGCCTCATGGGAGCTGACCCTGATGCACGGGGACTGAGTCACCCCTGACAGAACAATAAGGAGACCTCGTGGCATTTCCCATCTCCACAGAAACCACCAAATCCATGTCTGCCATGATCCTGCTCACTTCCTCACCCACCCTTCCCTGCAATCCATCCCTAATGAGTGCTCTTTGAACCCATCCAACTCTCTCCATCTCTACAGCCCTCGCCCAGCCTCAGTTTCCTCATTTGAAAGATGGGAATTCTAACACGTGTCTGAGAGGGCTTAGATGAGAATTAAGTTTGCAAAACTGAAAGCAGTGACTTTTGTTTGTGTTGCTCACAGAACCTACGCACTGTTCCCTGCTTCTCAGGCTCTTCTCTGTCCCAGTTCTCTCCCTTTCTGCCACCCCTTGAGTTGTCAGGCTCCTCACTCCCGCTTCAGGCTGCACCCTTCTTCAGCTTCCTCCACTCCCTGGCTGTGGCAGGCAGCCTCTAGGATGACCCTCAATGATCCCCAGCTCCTGCAGTCACCCTCTTGTGGAGTCCCCACCCCTTTAGTGTGGGATGCACCTAATGACTCACTTCCAACTCACAAAATATGGCAAAAGACACAGGAAGTCACCTCTGAAATTAGGTTGCAAAAGGACCTGCTATCCCTCTTGCTCATCTTCTCCTGAAAGACAGGTGGCAGAGCTGCCATGCTGCGAAGCACCCTATGCGGCAAGGGGCCCAGGGAGTACCCCTGTCAACAGCCAGCAAGGAACTCAGACCCTCAGCCCAACAAGCCACAGCTGAATCCTGCCAACAGTCACATGAGTAGATTTGGAAACAAATCCTCTGCCACCTCTCGGAAAGTCAAGCCTTGAAATGAATGCAGCCCCAGCCAACAGTTTCAGCCTGGGAATGGCCCTGTGCAGAGATACTCAGCTAAAACTGTAGTTGGATTCATAAGTCAGAGAAACTATGAAATCATAAATGTACATTGTTTTAAGTTGCTGAGTATTGGTGTGGTCTCTTCCATAGCAATAGGTAACTGAGACACATAGCCTTCATTTGTATCTCCATACAGAACACTCCCTGGTATATACAGCCGACCTCTGTATCCAGGGACCTGTGTCTGTGGATTGAACCAACCACAGATCAAAAATATTCAAAAAGTAGGCTGGGCACAGTGGTTCACACCTATAATCCCAGAACTTTGGGAGGCCGAGGCAGGTGGATCACCTGAGGTCAGGAGTTCAAGGCCAGCCTGGCCAACATGGTGAAACCCCATCTCTACTAAAAATACAAAAAATTAGCAAGGTGTAGTGGCATGTGCCTGTAATCCCAGCTACTCAGGGGGCTGAGGCAGGAGAATCCCTTGAACCCAGGAGGCGAAGCTTGCAGTAAGCCAAGATCATGCCACTGCACTCCAGCCTGGGCAACAGTGAAGCTCGGTCTCAAAAAATAAAAATAAATTAATTAAAAAAATAAAATGGTTTGTTGTGTCTGTACTGAATAGGTACAAACTTTCTTCTTGTCATTATTCTCTAAACAATACAATGTAACAACTATTTACATAGCATTTAAATTGTATTAGGTATTCTAAGTAATTTAGAGATGTCTTAAAGTGTACGGGAGGATGGGTAGGTTACATGCAAGTATAGGACTTGAGCATCTGTGCATTTGGTATACACCACGGGGGCCCTGGAACCAAGACCCCTCTCTTCTGCTTTGCTTACTGGCTGCTGTGACTCTTAGGAGCTCTCCTACTTGTTCGGCGGGTCCCTCCCAGTCTCCTTTGCTGTTTCATCCTTTGCTCTGCCTCTTAATGTTAGCCAGCGTCCAGGGCTCATTCCTGGGTCCCTTTCTATTCTCTCTACACATGAACCCTGGGGCTTTCTCCCAGTCCCTGGTTGTAAATACCAGCTATAGGCCTATGACTTCCCAGTCTCAATCTCCAGCCTGGACCACTTCCAAGAACCCCAGACTCATAGTTTCCGGTGGCAACTTGGGTGTCTAAAACACATCTCAAACTCAACCCACCTTCCCCATTTCTCCATCTGCTCAGCTACATCGTCCTCCCAGGTGGTCCATCGAGGCTCCAGGTGTCAACCTTATCTCCCTCCTACTCTCATAACCATGCCCCCTCCCATCCAGTCCCTCAGCGCATCTCCACTGTGCACCTCCAAAGCAGTATCTTCAGCCCACCTGTGGCTCTCTCTCTCCACCTGTCCAGCCGGCCTCTCTCACCTGGACCATGGCGGTGGCCCCGTGCCTGGTCTCCCAGCTCGAACTAGGGTTCCACTCGGCCACCAGATTTACATTATATGGAAATCAGATCCTGTCCCTACCTTGATTAAACCCCTAAAGTCTTCCCAAAATATTTAAAATAAATTCTACACTCCCGCACGGAGTGATAAAGTGCTCTGTTAGCTGATTTCTAACCACCCACGCTTCTCTCCACTCACCCCACCCACATTGCAGGCAACCCTTCTTCCTGTTTCTCAAACCAGACCCGCTCACTCCCACTGGGGGTTTTATACCAGCCATTGTTCCCTCTGCCCTGAACATGCGTGGCCAACCCCTTCCTGTCTCGTGTCACCCTTCAGCGAGGCCTTCCCGCTAAGCTGGTCCATCTGATCTACAATGGCAGCCCAAGAGCTATTTCCCACACCCTCCTTTTCCACTTCTCTGCTTAACACGGGTACACTATAAGGTGTCTTTCTTGCTCAGTTGATGGTTTCACCTGCTGTTGCCTGGTTTGTAAGCCCCATAAGAGGAAGACCAGAGATCTTGGTCATTGCTGTACCCTCACCATTCATAGCAGTCCCTGTACCTCTGTAGGTACTTAAGGGACACCTTTTAAAGGAAGGGTGAGAGGAAGGGCAAGGGAGACAGGGAGGAAAAGGGAGAAGAAAGGAAGGCAGGAAAATGGGACCTCTTTTCTGAAATCCACATCTTTATATGTGCTGTTTAGTTGGCTGGAAATTCTTGTTACTTATCCTATTGAGAAGTGGCCTATGACCTCTTTCTTTGAATCTAGATGGACTCTGTGACTACATGACTAATAAAATATGGCAGAAATGACACCATGCAGTTTCCAAGCCCAGGCCTTAGGAGACAGGCAGCTTCCAGTTCAGTCTTTTGGAGGGTCAGCTCTGGGGCCCTCAGCCATCACGCATGGAGTCCAACCACCCTGAGACGTCATGCTGGAGACCCACCTGTGGATGCCCCAGTCAAGAGTCCTGGCTGAGCCCAGCCTCCCAGCCACCCCCACCCAAGGCACCAGACCACGGAGCTTCTGGCCAAGGCTTCACCAACTTCACTTGATGCTGTGAGGAACAGAACTGCCCATCCAAGCCCTGCCAGAATTTCTAACCCACAAAGCCACGAGTCACAATAAATGCTATGGGACAAAAACAGTCATGCATGTTGCTTTTGTCATACATTAGTGGTAGTTCATTGCACGGCAATAGAAAACCAAAATATCTGTCTACTGGGTTCGTCCATTTGGATGCCACAGAGGCACCTGAAACAGAACACGTTCATTACTTAACTCTGGTTC
The DNA here is from genome assembly GCF_000001405.40 of Homo sapiens. NCBI lineage: Eukaryota > Metazoa > Chordata > Mammalia > Primates > Hominidae > Homo > Homo sapiens. The sequence goes on along the minus strand of NT_187367.1, from coordinate 159,841 downwards.
TTCCTTCCACACTGACCTCCACCCACTGCTCCCAAGGTTGCCCCTCCTCCAGAGTCCTCCTCCATCTCCAACATAGTATCACCATCTCCCCAGGAACTCAAGTGTGAAGGCAGGGGTCATGTTTGGCATCTGTCACCCTTTGCGAGTTGCAACCTGGAGACCCTGGAGGATGTTATGATGAGTGAAATAACCTAATCACAAAAGGACTAATACTCCACAAATTCACTTATATGAGGAGTCTAGGAGTCAAATTCCTAGAGACTGAAAGAACGGTGGTTGTCAGGGGCTGGGGAGAATGGGGAGTTCATATTTAATGGGGGCAGAGTTTCAGTTTTGCCAGACGAGAATAACCTGGAAATGGATGGTGTGATGTTTGCACAATGTGAACGTACTTTACTCCACTATACACTTGAAAGTGGGTGCAATGGGAAAGTTTATTTGATGAGTTTTTTACCACAATTAAAAATATAACAAAATAAGCATGAGTCAGATCCCGTCACTCTCAGTGTAGACCTTTCCATGGTTTTCTGTTGCATTTAGGATTGAGTCTTGGCTCGCAGGCCCTGTGTGGTCTCCCCTCTGCCCTCTGCTCTGTGCTCCCAGGTCATGTCCAGTGAGCCCTGCCTTGCCTTGCATCCGTCCCTTCCCCACACCTGCAGCTCTGCCCTGATAGTCTCTCATCCCAGCCCCATCCACACCCTTCCTTAGAAGAGGCCTTCCCTGACCCATCTCCCACAGCACCCTGCCCTTCCCGGTCACCACAACCACCCTCTGTTGTCTCCAGTGCCACGGCTCCTGGAAATTCAACTAACATTTCCATGTCCGTCTCTGGAGTGGAGCCCGCTCCACCTGGACATGCACATCAGCACCTGCAGCTGGGGCCTCTGGACTGGCTCCCGATGCTGGAGAAGACAGCTCTTGCTCTCTGCCAGATGCCTTTGGCACCACCTGGGGTCAACCACAAGGTTTCAAAGTGCCACCCATGAGCCAGCACGGGTATCCTAAGACTCCACCCTGCGATGATTTCCATCCTCTGGTTCAACCCCCCAGAACCCAACCAGTGCCTGGGGGCATCATGGGCCAAGCACAGGGAGGAAGAGACGGAGCCCACCCTTCTCCTTGGACTGGGCCCTGGGTCTGGCTTTCGGGTCCTGACAGACCATGAATTGCCACTTGATTCTGGTATTTCGGACAGTGCTATCTTTCTTCAAGTGGGTCCAAAAATGCAAGCCAAGTATTTCACCCAGTGGTCAACCAAAAAGGCAACCAGGGAAAGACAACTTTTCAGAACTTAGTTTTAAAAAGAAATATTAGGTCAGAAGCAGTGGCTCGCGCCTGTAATCCCAGCATTTTAGGAGGCCTAGGCAGGCAGATCACCTGAGGTCAGGAGTTCGAGACCACCCTGACCAACCTAGTGAAACCCTGTCTCTACTAAAAGTAGAAAAATTAGCTGGGCATGGTTGTTGCATGCCTGTAGTCCCACCTCCTCGGGAGGCTGAGGCAGGAGAATCACTTAAACCCAAGAGGCGGAGGTTGCAGTGAGCCGAGATCGCACCATTGCACTACAGCCTGGGCAACACAGCAGGACTCCATCTCAAAATATATGTATATTAATATTAATCACAGGATATGTACAAAAAGCATATACTTGAGGAAGATTCTAGAACTAGCTCTGACTTTATAAGAATTTGCATTTTGGAATATGCACCTCAAAAAAATGCAGCTTACAGTATCTATCTCTCTTGTTAACTCTTTCAATTTTTGACTCACTGCTGTGCCCCTGACATAGTCCCTGGCATACAGCAGGTGCCTGGCAAATGTCTGTTAGATGGAGAAGAGGGTCTCCCTGCAGCCAAACTCTTCTGGGCCTTCCACCTTCAGAGCCCCTCCTCACTGCCTAGCAAACTGAAGGAACCTGGGTGATCCAAGGCTAGGGTGGATCAGGTTTGCTTGGCAGACACACAGCCATTCTGACTTTAGAAGGGACTTACTTTCCCAACTTTGTGTTCTTAGGGTGATATCAAAAGCTGCAGACCCCGTATGCACCATCTGAAATTCAGGGGAGGAAGCTCAAAAGCCTCTGAGCTGCTGGGGCAACAGGGAGCAGGCTTGATAACAGAGGCTAGTAGCACAGAGCTGACTTCACCCAGAGTGATGGGCAGGCACCTCTGTGGACTGGGGCACTCCCCTCCAGCCACCAGTCACCATCACTGCAGAGACTCATGCGGTGGCAAAGGCTGCTTCCCCCTCCTTCTTACTGACCCCCACCATCCTTCCTTTATGTGTCTTTAAAAAAATCCCAACAGCACACAATGCTTCTTATTCCTTTTTCTTCTCTCCATCCCTCCATCACTGCCCTAGTTCAAGCTCCTCCCCTTCCTGCCTGGGCTGTTGCAGGGCTTTCTCTCCCAGTCTTTCTGCTTCTGGCCCTATCTGTCTCCGTCCTTGCTACACACAGCTACTGGGAGGATCATTCCAAAACACAAATCTGAGAGAGTCTTCCCTTGCCCTCAACATAAAGACTAGACTCCAGCCAGGCCTAGGAAGCCCTGCTCAAGCCAGAGTCCACCTACCTGGGCCCTCTCTCCTATTTCCCATTCTGCTACTCTGCTTAACACACATGGAATTTATGCCAAACTACTTGGTGCTCTCAAAACATGCCATGGTGTCTTTTGCCTCTGTGTCTTCACATATTGTGTGTCTCTGCCTGAAATGCTTTTCCCCGCCTTGATAACCTGGTGAACTTCCAGTCATTCCTTGCTGATGCAGACAGATGGGTGAGTGACTGTACACCTTCCTCTCCCTTGCTACCTTCCATCAGAGAGGCTGGGAAGCAAACCCTCTACTTCCCCAGCCTCCCTTGCAGTGAGGGGTGCCCACATGAGAGACATTGTCTGGCACCAGCCCTTCCCCACTGCTTTCTGTCTTGAACCCAGATGTGATGCCTGGTGCAGCTGCAGCCATCTCATGACCATGTCACAACAAACACCACACCACCCAAGTGACAAGATGAACAGTGCCTGGATGCCTGATGACATGGTTCAGCTGCCAGGCCAACCCCAAGCAGCCAACCTCCGGAATTCTCATGAGATAATTAAACATTGTTAAGACTGAAGACACTGTGAATCAAATTGCCTGTCACTTGCAACTAAAAGCACTCCTGATTGACACTGGGCCTCACCTCAAGCACCCACTACTCACTGAAGTCCTTCTGGATCCCTGCTCCTAGTACACCTTGCACAAGCCCATCTCAGCACTTGTCCTGTTCACTATATTAGATTTGCTCATTGTCTCCCTCCCCCATTATACTGAGACCTTTTAGAGGAAAGAGACTGAGTCTTTCCACTTTAATCTTTAGTACCTAGCCCAGCCCCTAGCACACAGCAAGTCTTTAGTAGGTAGATTTGTAGAATATAGGTCTATTTTCCAGCCTTATATTGTAATTTTATACTTACAGTATTTTTATTACAAGCTGCCTCCATTCCTTATTTTAAAAAGGCCAAGAGAAACCTAGATGTCCATCAATAATGGACTGGATAAAGAAAATGTATTATGGCCGGGTACAGTGGTTCACATCTGTAATACTAGCACTTTAGGAAGCTGAGGCAGGAGGATTGTTTGAGCGCAGGAGTTCAAGACAAGCCTGGGCAGCACAGTGAGACCCTATCTCTACAAAAAAAAAAAAAAAAAAAAAAAAAGTTTTGGCCAGGCATGGTGGCCCACACCTGTAATCCTAGCATTTTGGGAGGTCAAGGTAGGTGGATCACTTGAGGTCAGGAGTCCGAAACCAGCCTGGCCAACATGGTGAAACCCCCATCTCTACTAAAAATATTTTCAAAAATTAGCCAACTGTGGTGGCAGGTGCCTGTAATCCCAGCTATTCTGGAGGCTGAGGCAAGAGAATCACTTCAACTCGGGAGGCAGAGGTTGCAGTGAGCACCATCGCACTGTAGCCTAGGCAACAAGAGTGAAACTCTCTCTCAAAAACAAAAAAAGTTTTTAAAATTAACCAGGTGTGGTGGCACATGCCTGTGGTCCCAGGTACTCAGGAGGCTGAGATGGGAGGATTGCTTGAGCACAGGAGGTCGAAGCTGCAGTGAGCTGTGATCATGCCACTGCACTCCAGCCTGGGCAATGGGGCGTGACCCTCTCTCAAAAAAAAAATAAATAGAAAATGTGGTAGCTCTACACCATGGAATATTATGCAGTCTTAAAAAAGAATGAAATCACATTATTTGCAGCAACCTGGATAGAAATGGAGTCCTTATCCTAAGTGAATTAACACAGGAACAGAAAACCAAATACCTCATGTCCTCTCTTATAAGTGGGAGCTAAACATTGGGTAGTCATGAACACAAATATATGAACAATAGACACTACTAGGGACTACTGGGGGAGAGGTCGGAAGTGGGGTGCAGGGTGAAAAACTACCTATCGGGTACTATGCTCATTACCTGGGTGACGGGATCATTTGTGCACCAAACCTCAGCGACACGCAATTTACCCATGTAACAAATCTGCATGCGTACCCCTTGAACCTAAAATGAAAGTTTACAGCAAAATTAAAAGAATAAGAATAACTTGGTGCAGATTACCAAAGTATTGCAGAGGAACAAGAAGGCTGCAATATTCCTCAGGACTTTTCTCTTGGCGTTGCCCTGTAAGAAACGAGGAAGGTGGACTGGGCTTGGGTTCCCTCCCCAGCTGCTCTCCTCGTGCTTCTCCTCCTTGTCACAGCTTTCTCTCAGGCACACATTTCCATTGGCTGCTGGTGGCATGTCCCTGCCCCAGGGAGCCACGTCTCCGGCCACACCTCCACTCTTGAGGCAGGAGGAAGCAAGGGGCATGGTGTTGCCATTGCAGACTGTGACCATCCGAAGGGTTTGGATGTCCTCAGAGAGTTTTTTAGGCTCTCGGTGAATGGATTCAAAGATGAAGAGGTTCTGGATGTACTTCTCCACGATCACCACGATGGAGTAGGGCAGGTTGTACCAGGTGTAGTGGGGGTGGTCCTCGGCACAAAGGATGGCCAAGATTGAGCCCCAGGAGATAAGCCAGGAGCCTGAGGCAGTGCCCACCAAGAGGTCCGAGTCCAGTTTGCGGGGCGGATTTTTGGACTCATCCAGTGACTTCTCATCTGTCCTGTAAATCCGGATTCCAGCCAGCCCCGCAGCCCCCATAAGCTTCATCAGGGTGATGACATACAGGTAGAACGTGATGAGTGCTGACTTGCTCTTGGTCTTGGAGCACCCAATATGAATCAGGTACACCACCCACCACCACGGCAATGGTGGCGGCCAGCGCGGTCAGGCCCAGGACTGTGCCCACTGTGACCCCATCAGGCTTGAACTGCATCTTCTGGTGCTGATGGCTGTCAACTTTGCGCCCGATGTTCTTCCATAGGACGTAGAGCACTGTGGAGGCCAGGATCTGATACTCTATGTTGAAGGGGTAGAGGTAGTAGATATAGTAGATCCCGTGGGAGATGGTGGTGCAGAGAGTTGGGGGCGTGCAGTTACATTGCGGTGTGTGGTCATCTAAAACTAGGGGAGACAGGTTGATCACACAGGGGGGCTATTAGCAGGTGCAAGGGGAAGCAGAAAAGCACAGAAAACTGTTTCCACTGTGGATTCAGGCTTGGGTCTTCCCACTGGATTACAAGCTTTTTCATGTCATGGCTTATTATCACGTTTAATATCATGGCTAATTTGATAGCCCTGAGTATCCCCAAAGCATATTCATTACCTAAATCACATTTATTTGGTGAGTTGCCAAAGAGGATAGAGAAGATGACTCTATTGTTGTAAAAAATAGATATGTAGATGATAGATAGATAGATGGATACACACACACACAGACAGATGGAAAAAACCTGGAAGGACACAAACTAAAATGTCAACAATTGTTATCTCTGGGTGGAAAAATGACAGATGATTTTTAATCTCTTCTAGATTTTGCTTCCCTGTATTTTCTAAATTTTCTCTGTGAAGATGATTTACATGTGTGATTTTTTAAGATTATTTTTAAAAAATACTTTCTGGAGAAAATACCCCTTTTAATTAGCAAAAGATATGCCTCTTAAGACTCCAGTGCTAGCAAGCATGCAGGAGACAGGTGCTCTCCGATATCAGTGCGGGGAAAGTAAACGGGCACCACCTTCTGGAAGAGAAGCTGGCTGTCATATGGAGGGCCCTCTCATCACAGGAAGGCAGATGCTGCAAGTAAATGACGAAACAGGTCACCAAAGCCCTGAAGGCGATGCAGTCTCTGACCCATAATTCCATTCTTTCCATTCTACCCTTCTACTCAAAGGGACAAATAAAAAAATGTAATCAAAGAGTCAGGTAAGGCCAGGAGTGGTGACTCAGCCCTGTAATCCCAGCACTTTGGGAGGCCAAGGCAGGTGGATCACTTGAGGTCGGGAGTTCGAGACCAGCCTGGCCAACATGGCGAAACCTCATCTCTATTAAAACTACAAAAATTAGCCAGGTGTGGTGGCAAGCCTGTAATACCAGCTACTGGGGAGGCTGAGGCAGAAGAATCGCTTGAACCTGGGAGGCAGAAGTTGCAGTCAGCTGAGATCGCACCACTGCACTCCAGCCTAGGTGACAGAGCGAGACTCAGTCTCAAAAAATAATTTAAAAAAAAGTCAGGTAAAATTGTGTGTGTGTGTGTGTGTGTGTGTGTGTGTGTGTGAGAGAGAGAGAGAGAGAGAGAGAGAGAGAGGAACAGCTCAAGGTCCAACAACTTAGAAATTGTTAAGTAAATTTTAGTATATCCCAACAATGAGATAGTAGACAGCCACTGCACGTTATAATTAAGATGTGCTTTATGGTTTTGGGTATGGGGGGGGTTGTTTTGTTTTTTGTTTGTTTTGAGACAGAGCCTCCTTCTGTTGCCCAGGCTGGAGTGCTGTGGCACAATCTTGGCTCACTGCAACATCAGCCTTCTGTGCTCAAGCATCCTCCTACTTCAGCCTGCTGAGTAGCTGGGACCACAGGCCCATGCCACCACTCCCGGCTAATTTTTATATTTTTTGTAGAGACAACGTTCCGTCATGTTGGCTAGGCTGGTCTTGAACTCCTGAGCTCATGCGATCTGCCCGCCTCAGCCTCCCGAAGTTCTGGGATTAAAGGCATGAGCCACTGCACCCAGCCAGGATGTGTTTTAATATTAAGAAAGTAATCTCGTTTCAAGGAAAATGGAAAAAAGTAAGAACAAACTGTATATTTCTTTAATGCAAGTCACAACCCAGTACAAGGCTGTAAAATCAGGTAGCAACCAACTTTTTTGTAGCAGAAATAATTTTCAGTGGACTAGAATAGGATAGAATGGAGTGGAATCAACTCCGATAAAATTTGGAAGCATCTCTGATACAGTAAAATTAAGTATTATTTCATCAAGCATACACACATAAGTATGTGCGTGTTTGGATTACAGTGTAAAATCTGTCTCTTATTGAAGGTTGCAATAAAAAAAGATCAAATATATAGTATAAAATCAACTATAAATAAATGGCACACTACAAAAAAATAACCAAACATTCACAGCATTTACTGCATTTCTGGGTAAGTGTTGTGGATTTTTTTGCTTCACACTTTGTCATTGTTTTAGTTTATGATATGTATATATTACTTATAAAATCTGAGAAAAGCAGCTGGGCGTGGTGGCTCATGCCTGTAATCCCAGCACTTTGGAGGGCCGAGGCAGGTAGATCACAAGGTCAGGAGATTGAGACCATCCTGGCTAACACGGTGAAACCCTGTCTCTACTAAAAATACAAAAAATTAGCCAGGCGTGGTGGTGGGCGCCTGTAGTCCCAGCTACTCAGGAGGCTGAGGCAGGAGAATAGTGTGACCCCCGGGAGGCAGAGCTTGCAATGATCCGAGACCATGCCACTGCACTCCAGCCTGGGCGACAAGCAAGACTCCGTCTAAAAAAAAAAAATCTGAGAAAAACTATATCGTAGCATTAATTTTACTTTCACAGAACACTATGAAATTTTCTTTTTCTTTTTTTATTCTTTTTTATATAGGGTCTCCCTCTGTTGCCCAGGCTGGAGTGCAGTGGCACAAACACAGCTCACTGCAGCCTTGACTTCCTGGGCTCAAGTGATCCTCCTGCGTCAGTCTCCCATGTAGCTATAGCTGGGACCACGAGCCCATGCCACCATGCCTGGCTTTTTTTTTTTTTTTTTTTCCAGAGCTGGGGTCTCCCTTTGTTGCCCAGGCTGGTCTCAAATTCCTAGGCTAAAGCAATGCTCCTGCCTTAGGATTACAAAGTGCTCAGATTACAGGTGTGAGTCACTGCCCCAGTAATAATCTTCAATTCACACAGGGCTTCCCTAGCACTTACAATTCAATACGGTGTTATGCAGAAGACAAGGGAAGAAATCAGGAGGAAAAGTTCAGAGTAACAGAATGTTACAGCTGACAGAGTCCTTTTTTAGAAAATTAATCCAACCTCATCTTTCACAGAGGGCCTTGAAGCCAGATTGTTAGGATTCAAATCATGGCTGTATCACATGTTCATTGTGTTACCCTGGGCTAACTTCTCCGTGGCTTGATGCCTTCATCCATATAATGAGGTTAATATTGTCTACCTGAGGCCAGGCGCAGTGGCTCACGCCTGTAATCCCAACAGTTTGGGAGGCCAAGGCTGGCGGATCACAAGGCCAGGAGTTCGAGACCAGCCTGGCCAACATAGTGAAACCCCGTCTCTATTAAAAATACAAAAATTAGCCAGGTATGGTGGCATGCACCTGTAGTCCCAGCTACTCAGGAAGCTGAGGCAGGAGAATCAATCACTTGAACATGGGAGGCAGAGGTTGCAGTAAGCCGAGATCACGCTACTGTACTCCAGCTTAGGCGACAGAGTGAGACTCTGTCTCAAAACAAACAAACAAACAACTATATATATATATATATATATATATATATATATATATATATACACATACACACATATATAGCCTACCAGAGAGTGTGGGGGTACAAATTAAATGACATGTGTAAATTTCCAACAACAGTGGCTGGCACTCAGCAAATGCTTAATAAAAATTTACTTTTGTTATTGTGGTCATTGCTGCTACTAATATTGATACCAAGGAGGACATGAGGCCCAAACACCGAGTGCCTGCTGGTTGGGGGTGGTGACTTCGTTGTCTCCACCCCACTGATGACAAAACAGGTTCAAAGTGGCTCTCCAGGACAGCCTGGGTTCACACAGCTGTCACAGACTTGCTGCATGTTAAAGCTGGAAGGGATCTTTGCAAGTGCATGATTTGGATACCCTCACTTTACAAATGAGAAAAGGGAGGCTCAGAGAGATTAAATGTCTTCTAAAGGTCACACAGCTTGTACATGATGGGAACAAACCTGAGACACCCAGTTCCCTGCCCCACATTCCCCTCAGCCTGAATGTTCTCATATAGAAGTGACATATTGTAAATGCTAAAGGATTTTAGATGAAAATATAAAGATTAACCCAACAGGCTCTCAAATAGGAACAAGGCAGAACAGACATGAGCTAGAATTATAAGCCAACTACAGTTAAATTAAAACTTTAAATGAACCACAGCCTATTAACCACAACCTACCATTAGACTTTTATGAATTTTTAAAAGCCATACTTTTACTAGAAAGAACTGGTAATAGAGGTTTAATTAAAAACACAAGCAGAGGCAACCATCAATCTTCTGTAGTTGAAAACAAAGACATTTATTTCTGCGGCAAACTGGACCATGAGAAATGGCCATCAGAATGATCACCGTGGGTCTTACAAGTCCCTGAGTCATGGAAGAAACCTTTAATTATGCTCAGTACACATCACTTATGAGAGATTCAGGTTTTGGAAGATTTTCAACAACAGGGGGCTGTCTGGCTGATGCTGACTTTGGTGGGCCTGAAGTTCTTTGGAACCTGCACTCCATCTCTGAACACTGTGGACTCTGCAGGTTTCCAAGACATTCCAACATGGCAGAGGGGCCACTCACCTCTCTCAGCACTCACCTGTTGTTATGTTCCCAAAGCCCAGAGTGATGAGCCATTCCTTGTGCTCATTGGTGCTTTGACTCATTGAGGACGCCGTTGGCCCACAGAAGCAGGTTGGTGAACACCAAGTGGATCACCCCAAACCTGAAAAACACAAGGACTCAGTTCTCAAGCAGCCCTGGGAGAGCCTCAGGCACCATAGGGTGAGACAGACATGTGCACACAAATACACGGCTCCTTCTCAGCCATGATTCTGGCTACATCATGGATGACCCTTGAGAACGTTATGCTGTGAGAAATAAGCCAGACACAAGAAGACCAATACTGTATGGTTCAATTCATATGAGGCATCTAGAATATTCAAACTCATAAAGACAGAAAGTAGAACAGAGTTTGCCAAAAGCCAGAGGAGGAGGAAATAGAGAGTTGTGTAGTGGGCTCAGAGTTTCAGTTTTGCAAGATGAAAAACGTTTGCAGATTGGTGGTACAACAAGTGAATGTACTTAACATTAATGAACCATACGCTTAAAATGACTAAGATGGTAAATGTTATGTGATTGTCAACCTGAAAAAAAAAGACACTAGAGAAAATTATCACTAAATATGTTGGATTTACTTGGAAATAGGAATTACAGTCCAGAATGCATGGAATGGCAAGCCACCAGCGCATTCGGTGAGGGAAGGGTAAGGAGGAGCTGTTATTAGCAAAGAGAGATTTACATAATCCACAGAGAAAAAGAGTTCATCGGTTCTAGAGGCTCAAAGCCAGAGTTGTCATCAGTTCATTGGTGGAGATGCCAGTGCTGGACAAGTGTTCTTCCAAGAGCATCTTATCTGCTTTACTGCAGTCCTAAAGAATGTCTAGTAATGTCCAACCTCTTCAAAGCAGGAGATGCATGAAGGGTTTTTAGAAAGTCTTTGGAAACACTTTGTATCTCAGACACGTAGACAGAAGTGCCCTCTCCTTAGCGCCTTCCCAGGCCTATTTTGCCTGGGTCTGACAAAAGCGATTTCATCCTGATATCTACAGGTTTTTCAGTATTTGCCACAATTTTAAAATAAATGCTCTGTTTTTTAGAACAGCGCCTAATTGTTATATATACTTTTTTCCATTCGCCAGTCATCTAATGTAGCAAAAGCACATGGTAAGTGTCCAACAGGTATAGAATGATTAATTCATTGACTTGCCTGGCCAATAAAATGCCTTAAATTAGAAAGCTAGGATCTCCAACCCACCAACTAAGAGGGATATTTTGAAAATTCATATCTGTCCCAGTCATTCTTCTGCCTAAAGCCTTCAGTGGCTCCCCACTGCCCTCGAGGTGAAGCCCAAGCCCCTAGGTGGCGGTCAGCCTTGACCAAGAATTTGCTGCACACCTAGCCCTGTGCCAAGTGCTTTTCATACACATGTGCCTTTAATCTCTACAACGAGCCCATGAAGTAGGTACTGTGATTGTCCTCACCTTGCAAGTAAGACCCATGAGGCCCAGAGAAGTTAAGTAATTTGCCTGAAGTCACACAGCTGTGGTCAGAGCCAGAGTCATGCAATCTGACCAGAGTGCAAGCTTACAAGCCCTACACCAAACAGGGATCCAGCCTGTGCCCACACATCCTCCCGCTACCCCACTGTGAGGAAAGACTGCATGTCCCAAAGACACCCTCTTCCAGTGGCCTCTGACCCACTAACCCTGTGCTCCTCCCTCTCTCACAAACGGTTCTGGGACCTTCCCTGGCAGAAATTGACTGTCACTCCAAGCTGCCAAAATGCCCTCCTTTGTGCTCCCTCATTGCTCTGGACACTCTGGTCAAAGCACTGAGCCCAGCGTTGTCACTGTTTTGGGGACTGCCTCTCACCTAACTGACACCCCCATGGTGTGTGACACAGACTTTACAGCCTTGTATTCCCCATGCTGAGAACAATGTTCGTCCAGTATTTAAAGATGAACTACAAGAAAAATGAATGAACGAATGCAGTTCGTTCTGGCCTCACGAAAGCTTTCCACATTGTCACTGTATCACTATAAGGCTCTGTCTTCACGGGATTTGGCTCCCCTGGAATGAGCAGCCAGTTATCTTTGATCAGCTTGGGCTGCCATAACAAAGGACCACAGATCATCAACTTCAATAACAGGAATTTCTCTTCTCAGGGTCCTGGGGCTAGAAATCCAAGATCAAGGTATGGGCAGGGTTGGTTCCTTTTGAGGCCTCTCTCTTTGGCTTGTAGATGGTCAATTTCCTCCAGTGTCTTTACATGGCTGTCTCTCTGTGTGTGTCTGTGTCCTTCTCTCCTCTTGTTATAAAGACACCAGGGCCAGGCGCAGTGCCTCACGCCTGTAATCCCAATACTTTGGGAGGCCGAGGCAGGTGGATTGCCTGAGGTCAGGAGTTCGAGACCAGCCTGGCCAACATGGTGAAACCTCATCTCTACTAAAAATACAAAAATTAGCTGGGCATGGTGGCAGGTGCCTGTAACCCGAGCTACTTGGGAGACTGAGGCAGGAGAATTGCTTGAACCCAGGAGACGGAAGTTGCAGTGAGCCGAGATTATGCCATTGCACTGCAGCCTGGGCAACAAGCAAAATTCCGTCTCAAAAACATAAAAAATAAAGACACTAGGCATATTGAATTTGGGCCAGCCTAATGATCTTATTTAACCTCAATCTCCTCTAAACGACCCTATCTCCAAATACAGTCACATGCTCAGGTACTGAGAATGAGGGTTTCGGCATATGAATTTCACAGGGGATATGACTCAGTTCATAACAGCTTTCAAGTGCAAGGCAGCCCCTCCAAATGAGCCCCTCAGCAAGCTCCCCAGTGATCCCACCATGCCACCATGGAGCTAAACTGTTTCCAGGCTCACTGGGCACGTTCTGTCTGTTAGCTTCACTGTTTGAGAATGTGTTTGATCTAGAGAAACACTCTAAGGTCATCCAGTGCTGTCTGGTAAGTCAGCTGGGGGTACAAGCTGACGGTCACTTTGGATAAAAGATGAAGTTTTAAAAATGTCATCCCTGGTTTTCTAGAGGTAGAAAACTTTCCAAAGAACCTTCTCAAACTGGAAATCCAAAAATATTTCCAGCAATGGCAGTATCACCAGAACAAGTTCATGGTCTTCCAGGGTGACTTGTCAGGAAGAAAATAATCATTGTGTCTCCGCAGTGACTTTGAGCAAGTCACTTGTCTTCTCTGAGCTCCAACTTCTTCGTTAGAAAAAAATGAGAGCAGAGCCTGCCATTTGCAACAACATGGGCAAATCTGGAGGACATTGTGCTCAGTGAAATAAGGCAGACACAGAAAGAAAAATACTGCATAATCTCACTTATATGTAGTATCTAGAAAAACGTTTTTAATCCAATGCATAAAAACAGATGGTAGAAGCTGGGCATGGTGATGTGGGCCTGTAGTCCTAGCTACTAGGGAGACTGAGGCGGGAGGATCACTTGAGCTGAATTCAAGGCTGCAGTAATCCGTGATGGCACCACTGCACTCTACCCTGGGCAACAGAGCAAGACCCTGTCTCTAAAATTGAATTAAATTAATAAATAAAAACAAAATAACATAAAGAGTAGAATGGTAGTTGGAGGGGAAAAATTAGAAGATTTTGGTCAAAGGGTACAAAGTTGCAAATACGTAAGATGAATAATTCTAGAGATGTAATGGACAACGTGAAGACTGTAGTTAATACTATTGTATTGTATACTGGAAATTTGCTAAGAGAATAGATTTTAGGTGCTCTTACCACATCCAAAAAAAGAAAGGCAACTATGTGAGATGACAGACATAAATATGCTTGACTGTAGTAATCACTTCACTATGGATAGGAATATCAAATAATCATGTTGTATACCTTAAACATATACAACAAAAAACAAAAAAAAATGAGACTGACAATTCAACAATTCAGATCCTGACTCTGATAACATTACCACGGATTTCTGCCAAGGGCGAACACTACCCTGAAAGCCCATCTAACATTCTTTTCAACCATGAGATTTTTCTGACCCTAAGCTATGTATTTAAATTATATTTATCAAATCCTTCCTTCTGAGCCATACCAAGTTTACCAATGCTGTGGGAAAAAATCCTTATACATTTCTAAGACTTTAATCCCCAAACGAGAAAACAAAAGCGCTTCCATGACCCAGAGGAGGCATTGCAATGGCACAAGGTTTCTATGTAGGAAGAATATTAAATTTTTTTAAAAAATAAAATTGATTTTGGCAATGGTTGCATAACTCTATGAACAGACTAAACCGTTGAATTCCACATGTTAAATGGGTGAATTATATGCCATGTGAATTCTCTCAATAAACCTGTTACATACCCAGAAAATAAAACTCCCTCAAGCTTTTACTGTAGACCCTGGCTTGGCAGAATTTCCTGACTCTTCATCATTAGAAGTTCTGCCTCATAGGATCCCTGCAAAAATGGCCATGGGGACACAGAGTTTTATTTTGCAATGGAGGCAGCTGAAGAATTAAGCCTCAAAGATAGACTTCAGTTCACCTCAGTTCATTGCAGTTCACAGCTGTGCACACTGTCTCCACTTGCCACATGTCTTGATGTTACAAGTTTCTACACAACCTGGGATACACTTCACAGGAATGAGACAACATGAATAAACATCAGTGGTTTACCTGCAACAAAGTATGCACTGAATGGGTGACAGGGAAAACTCCTTCAGTGGCTGATAAACATTCTGAAAATCCAATGAAGTATCTAATTTTAAGGCATCCCAGGATGATGGTAATGACTGCAAACAATGTGATACTACCTAAATGTGGGATAAAGGGGGAAGTGGAAACACACACATTCCATTAATATACATTGATGTCATTTCAAAATAAATTATATTACATATTAAACCCTTATGTATATGGTCAAATGATTTTTTCACAAGGGTGCTGAGACCATTCAATGGGAAAAGGGCAGTCTTTTCAACAAATGTGGGAAAACTGGATGTCCACATGCAAACGAATGAATTTGAACCCTCACCTTACAGCATATACAAAAATTAACTCAAAACAGATAAAAGATCTAAACATAAAAGTATAAACCTTGTAAAAGAAGACATGGGAGAAAGCTTCATGACATTGGCTTTGGCAATAATTTCTTGGCTAGGACACCAAAAATGCAAGCAACAAAAATTAAAATAAATAAGATGAACTACATGAAAATGAAAAATTTTTGCACATCACAGGATGCTACCAACGAAGTGGAAAGACAGCCCACAGAACCGGAGAAAACATTAGCAAATTATATACTTAATAAGTCATTAATATCCACAATATACAGATTTGTTTACATTAAATACCTCATATAATGAAATCGTACAGTACTGTCCTTTGGTGGTTGAGTTTATTTTACTTAGCATAATGTCCTTATGGCTCATCCATACTGTATCATGTGTCAGAATTTCCTTCCTTTTTAAGCCGAATAATATTTTGTTGTATGTCTATACCTCACTGTGTTTATCCATCTATCTGTTGATGGATGCTGGGTCGCTTCCACCTTTTGGATACTGAAAATAATGCTGCTATGAGAGAATTTATAGAGAATTCTTATACATTGACAGCAATGGGCTGGGCACAGTGGCTCGCACCTGTAATCCCAGCACTTTGGGAGGCCGAGGAGGGTGAATAACTTGAGGTCAGAAGTTGGAGACCAGTCCGGCCAACGTGGTGAAACCTGTCTCTACTAATAATACAAAAATTAGCCTGGTATGGTGGTGCATGCCTATATTCCCAGCTACTTGGGATGCTGAGGCAGGAGAATCCCTTGAACCAGGGAGGCAGAGGTTGCAGTGAGCCGAGATCATGCCATGGCACTCCTGGGCAACAAGAGCGAAACTCTGTCTCCAAAAATCGATCAATCAACAATGACAAAAGCCAATTTAAAAATTGGCAAAGGACTTGAATAAACATATCTCCAAAGAAGACATAAAGATGGCCAGCAAGTACATGAAAAGATGTTCACCATCACTAATTATTAGAGAGATGCAAATCAAAACTGCAAAATACTTTCACACTATCAGGATGGCTACTATCAAAAAAAAAAAAAAAAGAAAATAATAGAAAATAACCAGCATTGGTGAGGATATAGAGAAATAGTGCTCTGTTGGTAGGAATGTAAATTGGTACAGCTACTACTGAAAACAGTAGGGAGGGCCTTCAAAAAATTGAAAATACTATTATGGCATGATCTGGCATTTTCACTTCTGAGTATATACCCAAAAGAATTGAAAGCAGGGACCCGAGGGGATATCTGTATTCTCCTGTCCATAGCAGCATTATTTTCAGTATCCAAAAGGTGGAAGCAACCCAGCATCCATCAACAGATGGATGGATAAACACAATGAGGTATAGACATACAACAGAATATTATTCAGCTTAAAAAGGAAGGAAATTTTGACACACGATACGGTATGGATGAGCCATGAGGACATTATGCTAAGTAAAATAAACTCAACCACCAAAGGACAATACTGTAGGATTTCATTATATGAGGTATCAAACGTAAGCAAATTCATAGACAGAAATAGAATGGTGGTTGCCAGGTGCTAGAGGGAGGGAAGAATGAAGAGTTAGTGTTTAATGAGGACAGAGTTTCAGTTTTGCGAGATGAAAAAGTTCTGGAGGTTGGTTGCACAACAGTGCATATGTGCTTAACACCACTGAGCTGTGCACTTGAAAACTGCTAAGTTGGTAAATTTTATGTATATAAATGCATGTTTTACCATAATTAAAAATATATTAATAAAATAAATTCTAGCCCAGGCATGGTGGCTCATGCCTGTAATTCCAGCACTTTGGGAGGCCAAGGCGGGAGGATCACTTGAGGCCAAGAGCCTAAGCAACCCCATCTCTACCCAAAAATAACATAATAATTATTTCTAAATAAATAAACAAATTCTACTGTTGAGCTGCGAAGGTAAAACTAGAAGGCAGGTGTTGTGTCCCGTTCATCATTGTACCCACCCCATAGCCCAGAGTCTGACAAATGATACACAATCAACGAAGCCTGGTCCAGTCAACAGAATGCTCCCAGAAGCTTTTTCAAAAAGGAGAAATCTAAGAATGTCACTGCTCTACTCAAAAATCTCAGTTCTCTAATCCTAAAATCCTGTTCTCTAAAGAATAAGAGTGCAGCTGGCTGGGTGCAGTGGCTCACATCTGTAATCCCAGCACTTTGGAAGGCCGAGGTGGGTGGATCACCTGAGGTTGGGAGTTCGAGACCAGCCTGACCAACATGGAGAAACCCCATCTCTACTAAAAAATACAAAAGTAGCGGGTGTGGTGGTGCATGCCTGTAATCCTGCTACACCGGAGGCTGAGGCAGGAGAATCACTTGAACCCGGGAGGTGGAGGTTGCAGTGAGCCGAGATTGCATGATTGCATTCCAGCCAGGGCAACAAGAGTGAAACTCTGTCTCAAAATATATATATATTAATAAGAAATAATAAGAAATAAGAGTGCAGAGTGTGCAGGTCATACAGGTATACAGGAATTCTCTGAACTGTCTTTGCAACTTTTCCATAAATCTAAAGCTTTTCTAAAATGGAAAGTTTATTTATTTATTTATTTGAGACAGGGTCTTGTTCTGTCACCCAGGCTGGAGTGCAGTGGCACGATCTTGGCTCACTGCAACCTCCACCTCCCAGGTTCAAGTGATTCTTGTGCCTCAACCTCAATCCCAAGTACCTGGGATTACAGGTGTGCTGGCCAGGCTGGTCTTAAACTCCTGGCCTCAAGTGCTCCGCCTGTCTCAGCCTCCCAAAGTGCTGGGATTACAGGCATGAGTCACTGAGCCCGGCTGAAAGTATATTAGAAAAAAAAAATAGATGGGTAAGGGCTCTATAGTAGTAGCTGAGGAAGGGCCTGTGCTAGGTGTACTGAGGAAAGGAAGCAATCTTTGATAGTATAATGAGCATGGCTTTGCCCAAAACATAAAGACAAACTAATAAAAAATTTGCATATAAAAAAGACTGGAAAGGAATGTACAAAATACATTAAAAAGACACTTGGTGACAAATGAAGAAATTAGTGAGAAAAAGGCAATGATCATGAGTGCTTGATCAAGTCAGAGTTCCTCATCTCCCTCCTGGGCTAGCAATGACTGCCATTTACACATTTGCTCCTACCAACAGGAGGAAACTGGATCATGTATGACATGCATTAAGGCACTGAGCAGAGAGGAGGGCATGAGCCATAACATTGGGCTATAACGTTACAGCCCCAGCCTGAGAAGCCTCCTCTGAAAAGTAATGCAATCACCTGGCACTTTTCCACTGCTCAAAGCCTTATAGAAACAACTCTAACTCACATTTTTAATCCTGGAAACACCCCAATGAAATCGGAAACGTTGTAAGAGTGGAGATTCAATCCCAGTGCTTTGAAATGTTTTGACAAATACGTGGTTGGTTTTAATTACAAAAAACATAGCAAGATCAGGTGAGGCAGCGTGGTTGAGTGGCAAGAGTACAGGCCTGAAAGTACGGAGACCTGGACACTCACAGAATACATGAGTCACTTCCTGCTCCCAACCTCAGGATTCCCATACAGAAAATGCGGATGGTCTACAGCAGTGGTTCTCAAACTGGAAACTGCATCAGAATCACCTGCAGGGCTTGTTAAAACACAAATTCCTGGGCTCCACCTCCAGAGTTTCTGATTTAGTAGGTCTGGGTGGTGCCCCAAAATTTTCATCTCTAACAAGTTTTCAAGTGGGGCTGCCACTGTTGATCTAGGCCCCGCTTTGAAAACTACTGGTCTAGACCATCTCTGTGGTTGACATGCCAAGTGTTCAATAATATACTCTTTAAGTCCTCCCTTTCTTCCTATGTTCATCCATTCATCCATGGATTCATTCAGCCAGTTGTTTATACAACAAACACCTTGGGGACTCCTACTATGCATGAGACATTGTGCCAAGGGCTCAAAGACAGACATAGGAGATTGCTGTAGAAACAAAAATATACGAGTATAATATTGCATAAATTAGGGTGTGCACAAAATATCAGAGAGATGAGCTGGCAACAGACTTCCTCTGTGCAGCCTGGGAAACCAGAAGACAGTGGACGTATGTGCCACAAGGAAAAGACTGCACCTCAAAAACCTTATTCTCAGCTAAGATGTCGCCCATGTGTCAGGGCAAAAGGCAGAATGATGTTTGAAGTATACAAAATGTAATTTTTTCAACAGCTATTTATTGAGCAGCAACCATGGGCCAGGCATTGTCCCAGGCACTGAAGATATAAAGGTCAATAAAATAGAGTATCTGCCCTTGAGGAGTTTCACATCTAGTGGGGAAGGCAAAAAATAAACCGGTAAATAGTAAACACATAAAGAATGTCAGGAAGTGCTAAGTGCATGAAGAAAAGTAAAGCAGAAAAGGGGACTGAGGTTGAAGGTACATGGGCAGGAAAGGAGGTGATTGTTGAACAGAGAACAGAGAAAACTGTCATCCACATAACTTGTCTGACAAAGGACTTTAACCAAGGAGCTTGTGAACTGGAAGAGAGTCCCCAAAAGAGGGGAAGATGAGGAGGAGAGCAAATTATAGTGACCAATCAACTCTGTGGAAGGCTAGAGGAGGGTGGAGGTATAATGGATGGAGAGACAGATGGAGATAGATAATTAGATTAATAGGAGAGAAAAGAAGAACTTAAATTCAAATGGATAAACTGCCTGAGATGTGTAATTTACATACCCTATAAAGACTTGTCATACAGAATAGACATTTTGAGGCGAAATTCTATTAACTATCTCTACAAAACCCATAAGTTCGGCCAAGCACAGTGGCTCACACCTGTAATCCCAGCGCTTTGGGAGGCCGAGGCAGATGGATCACCTTTGGTCAGGAGTTCGAGATGAGCCTGGCCAACATGCTGAAACCCCGTCTTTACTAAAAATACAAAAATTAGTCTGGTGTGGTGGCAAGCATCTGTAGTCCCAGCTACTTGGGAGGCTGGGGCAGGAGAATGGTGTGAACCCAAGAGGCAGAGGTTGCAGTCAACTGAGATTGCACCATTGCACTCCAGCATGGGTGACAGAGCGAGACCCCATCTGAAACAAAACAACACAAAACAAAACAAAACAACAACAACAACAACAAAAAACCTAAGTTGGAAAAGGACTGGATAGGGAACAAAGAAAAACCTTTGAAAGCCCTCAAGGTAAATAAATGGAAAAGGAGAGGGAAGAAGGGAAAGGAATAGGGAGGCAAACGTATCCTAAAGATCTCATCCCATTAGGTAGAGAGGAAGTGGGAGCAGTGAACATCTTGGAGTGGGACACAGTGTGGCTTGCTGAGGGAAATGTTCAATATTTTGTTTTCAAATAAGAATGAAGTAATAGGCAGCTGGGCGCGGTGTCTCACACCTATAATCCCAGCACTTTGGGAGGCCAAGATGGGCGGAACACTTAAGGTCAGGAGTTCAAGACCAGCCAGGCCATGATGGTGAAACCCTGTCTCTACCAAAAACACAAGAAATTAGCCCAGTGTGGTGATGGGCACCTGTAGTCCCAGCTACTTAGGAGGCTGAGGCAGGAGAATCGCTTGAACCTGGGAGGCGGAGGTTGCAGTGAGCCGAGATCATGCCACTGCACTCCAGCCTGGGCAACAAAGTGAGACTCTGTCTCAAAAAAAAAACAAAAAACAAAAAACACAACGACTGTATGAGGAAGCTATAACAGCCACACATGTGCCCAAATAAAACAGATTTTGATTTATATAAACACATATATATGTATAAATATATATATACAAGTATATATATACACATATACATAGATAAGTATATATACACATATACATATATATTTATGCATGTATAAATATATATACATATATAATTTCGCAATTACTTAACTTACCTTTGCCTCAGTTTCCCCATCTCTAAGATGTAATGACAGTAATAACACTTATCTCATAGGGGTGCTGAGGAGATTAAGTGAGTCTTTACATGGAAGTCACCTAGAACAGTGTTCCTTACCTAGAAAGTTCTATAAGCGGGATGTTATTAGCATCACTCAATCGCCAAGAAAATGTTGATGCATTAGAACCAATTAGAAAGTTTACCAGCTACAATACTTGAGAATAATCCAAAGACTACATAGGGTACCCATCTAGTGATGGCAGAGGGAACCCCCTCCTCTTTGTTAGGCACCCAAATCCCTCCTAGGAGTCTAGAATCTTGAACCCCCCTCTTAGAGGCGGAAAGTCCCACAGAGTTAGTCTGCATTCTATCCCATGCAAGAATGCTTTCCAATGCATCATGACCGGAAGCCATCTGATCTCTACTTGGACAAGCCCAGGGCTGGGAGGCTCAACATCTCTCAAAGCGCACCCTTCCATCACCAGCTGGTACTTACTTTGTGTTTTATTTTTATTTTATTTTAATTTATTTTATTTTATTTTATTGAGATGGAGTCTCACTCTGTTGTTCAGGCTGGAGTGCAGTGGCATGATCTTGGCTCACTGCAAACTCTGCCTCCTGGTTTCAAGCAATTCTCCTGCCTCAGCCTCCCGAGTAGCTGGGATTACAGGCACTCCACATAGCGAGACCCCTGTCTCTACAAAAATCAATTTTTAAAAAATGAGCCAGGCGTGGTAGCACACACCTGTAGTCCCAGCTATTTGGGAGGCTGAGGTGGGAGGAGCACTTGAGCCCCAGAGTTCGAGGCTGTAGTGAGCTATTATCACACCACTTCATTCCAGCCTGGGAGACATAGGGAGACCCTGTCCTTATTAAAAGATAAAAATAAAATAAAGAAAGAAAGAAGATTGTGCAGGTGTTGCCTCCTCCCTGAACCTCGCAGCCTTCCTGCAGACTTGGGCTCCTCCCAGGCCCCTGGTGGTAGCCCTGCTCAAGGGTGCTGTGCTGCTTACTCTGTCCCCACCCCCAAGCTCCTAGAAGTTGAGGGCTAAGTCTCACAGGTCACGCTCCCCAACTTCCCAGTGAGGGCTCATTAGCTGTTTGTTTATTGCTGTTTCTCTACCTGAACATCAGCTCCACCTGAGCAGAGCCTTTCATAGCTGAAACCCCAGCACCTAGAACAGAGATCAGCAAATGATTCATAATTTGCTGTGTCCCACCATGCCCAGCTTTTTGTATTTTTAGTGGAGACGGGGTTTCACCATGTTGGCCAGGCTGGTCTCAAACTCCTGACCTCAGGTGATCTGCCCACCTCAGCCTCCCAAAGTGCTGGGATTACAGGCGTGAGCCACCACGCATGGCCTGGTGCTTACTTTAGAATGTTTTTCTTTATATTGAAGTGCAGTTGACTTCCCAGAACTATCGTCTTCTTCCCTGGAGCTTCTATCATCATTCACTTATTCATCCACCCATCTAGTCATCCATCCATCCACCCAATCATTCAATCATCCAATTATTCAGTAGCTAGGAATTGGCATTTACTACATGTTAGGCACTGTGCCAGGAGCTCGGGATACAATGGTAAGCACATTCAGACAGGGTCTCTGCCTTTAGGGGCTCAGTCTGGCTACCCCAACAGTCACTGAATAATACAATATCCTGCTTGATTAGTGCTAGAAAGAAAATGAAGAGTGCTATGAGACCATACAACATGGGGGCTTCCCCTGGTCTGAAACTATCGGGAGAGGCTTCCCAGAGGAAATGACTCTTACTTGCTGAAAGACAGAGGATGGCCTGGAGCTGACAGGTGCAAGGCAGCAGCACTTTCTACCCTGTGACCTCCGCATCCTTCTCTCTTCTGGACTGAACCTCCTTTTGCTCCTCCTGCCGCCACTCTTTCCAAGGGCCTGTGAAATGCTCAAGGAGGATGAGACCCTCCACACACAGTCTGATTTCCTTTCCAATGAAAGCCAAGCCTGCATCTGATTTTTTGGCAGCCACATTCGCTCGTTTGTGTTGAAATCGTGACACTATGTCTATATTTTCCATTGGACCAGAAATATCATCTAAGAAAAGAAATAAGTAAGAAAATGCATGCAGTTAAGCAAGACCCTCATAGTGGCCCCAGAATGGATCTTGAGGATCACTGGTCTTTTTCCTGAGGGACTTGCCCTCTGCCTATTGATCTAAGATTGTCACCAACACCAGGGCAGAGCTGAGTTCCCGGGTCAAACCTGTCTTTCCAGCTAGAATTCCAGAGGAAACCCCAGTCCCTGTTGGGGCTGAAGGTGCTTCCTTTTGGCATCGGGGCCTCTCGACACTAATAATTAGCGTCTTGCTTCTTTGAGGAACCCACAGGAATGGCCAGGGCTTTGCAAACTGCTTCTCTCAACATCCCCCAGCTCCTCCCAGAGAGTCGACTGGGATTCTTATCTTACTGATGAGGAAAGCAGAACTCAGAAAGGTGAAGGTGACAGAGCTGAGACCTCAAGCCAAGCCCTCCAGAGCCAACACCATTTCCATGATACACACACCTCACTTGAATTACATTATTATGGGGCAACTCACTGAATGTCTAAAGAGCTACCACCTACTGAACACCTATCACGTGCTCTCTCTACCTTGCCCATTTATTCCCTCTCTACTTAGTGTCCCAAAGACACCTCAAATGTAGCATGTCCATAAGAGAACTGTAACATGTCATTGGTTTTGTGTCCCCACCCTGCTCTTCCCTTTGGCTTCCCAATCTTGGGAAATGGTGCAACCATTCACCCATAGACTCAGGCGCCAATGCTCGGAGTCAACCTGAAAGGAGGCAGAGAGAGAGGAAGAACAAAAAAACACGGATGGATGGACAGATGGATGGATGGATGGATGGATAGATGGATGGATGGATGATGAATAAGTGTGGATGGGTGGATGGATGCATGGTGGATAAATAAGTGAATGATGATAGAAGCTCCAGGGAAGAGGATGATGGTTCTGGGAAGTTAACTGCACTTCAATATAAAGAAGAGCATTCCTTGGATAAGGATAGACTGAGTAGAAAAAGAAGAAAGAGGAAGAAGAAGAAGAAGAAGAAGAAGAAGAAGAAGAAGAAGAAGAAGAAGAGGGAGGAGGAGGGGGAAGGGGAGGGTGGGAAGGGGGAAGGGAGGGGGAGGGAGAGGGGGAGAAGGAGAGGAGAAGGAGAAGGAGGAACATTCTAAATGCACCAGGCTGGGCGTGGTGTCTCATGCCTGTAATCCCAGCACTTTGGGAGGCAAAGGCAGGCAGATAACCTGAGCTCAGGAGTTTGAGACCAACTGGGCCAACATGGTGAAACACTGTCTCTACTAAAAAATACAAAAATTAGCCAGGTGTGGTGGCATGTGCACCTGTAGTCCCAGCTAATCAGGAGGCTGAGGCAGGAGAATCACTTGAACCCAGGAAATGGAGGTTGCAGTGACCCATGATCTAGCCACTGCACTCCAGCCTTGGCAACAGAGTGAGATTCCATCTCAAAAACAAAAACAAAAACAGCAGAGGAGAGAGGAAGAGAGGAAGGAAGAGAAAGAGAGGAGAGAGGGAAGAGGGATAGTGGAGGGAAGGCTAGAGGAAGGAAGAGAGGAAGGAAGAATGAAGGAGGAGAAGAGAGAAAGAAAATGAGGAAAAAAATAAGGAAAGGGAGGCTGGGCATGGTGACTCACACTGGTAATCCCATCACTTTGGGAGGCTGAGGCAGGCAGATCACGAGGTCAGGAGTTCGAGACCAGCCTGGCCAACATGATGAAACCCCGTCTCTACTAAAAATACAAAAAATAGCTGGGCATGGTTGCAAGCGCCTATAATCCCAGCTACTTGGGAGGCTGAGTCAGGAGAATCGTTTGAACCCGGGAGGCGGAGGTTGCAGTGAGCCGAGATCGCACCATTGCACTCCAGCCTGGGTGACAGGGCAAGACTCCATCTCAAAAAAAAGATAAAAAGGAAGAAAAGGGAGAGAAAAGGGAAGGGGAGGGAATAGGGAGGGAGGGAAGAGGAAGAAAGGAAAGGAGAAAGAGGGAAGGAAGAAGGGAGAAAAAAGGATGGAGGAGAAAAAGAAGTGAGGAACAAACAAGGGGGCTTTGACTGTAGGAAAACACAGGTAAAGGCTCATGTGTATAATACTTTTTAGCCTGTGTAAGTCAATATCCTAAAATAACACTTTGTGCCTTGTTTTAAACAGCACCACATTCACTGTCATTCACAGAGTCACAAAACCATTAACTTCCCTAAAACAACCAATTTCAGAACAGGAATTTGGGCCACCCTGCAATGGTGTCAAATTTCCCCAAAAGCAAGATGAACTAGATCCAGTCCCTGAGCCTAAGAAGTCTAAAATCTCTTCTGGATGATAAGGCTAATATTCAACAGTCATAATACAAGGCAGAAACAGACAAGGACCAAAAGAGCTTTACAGAAGGAGGGCCATGGTGGCCCATGGAAGTGAGGAGTAATTCCTGCCAGGCATTTGTGAAGAAGGTGGCATCTGGCCAGGACCTTTGAAAGAAGTGCAGAAAGGAGGCCTAGTGTGTGCTGGGCAGCCACCTCATCAATCACTGGATCCTATCCAGTGTGAGATCCCCATTCTACAGATGCCGACACCAGGGTTCAGGGTAAGGAAGGCAATCAAGCAACTTGCCCGAGGTCATGCATGCAAGGAACACGGAAGCCCCACTCTAATGGAGATTTAAATTCAGGTCTAATATGAGAATCCAAGTGGCAATGTGTGATGTGTCTGGACCACGTGGTGTGAAATGCAGTCGGCTTCTCCTGGGAAGGTTACTCAGACAGAAGCTTTCTTCACAAGCATGCTCCCCACGGCCTCCTCCCTTTCACCTGCACCATGTCTGTCTCCCATTCAAGACTGGCAACCCCAGCCAGGCACAGTGGCTCATGCCTGTGATCCTATCATTTTGGGAGGCCAAGGCAGGAGGATCCCTTGAGGCCAGGAGTTTGAGAACAGGAGACAACACAACGAGGCTCTATCTGTACAAAATATAACAAAACTTAGCCAGGCAAGGCCATGTGTACCTATAGTTCCAGCTATTCAGGAGGCTGAAGTGGGAGGATTGCTTGAGACCAGGAGGAAGAGGCTGTAGTGAGCTGTGACTGTGCCACTGCACTCCAGCCTGGGAGATAGAGCAACATTGTCTCAAAAAAAAAAAAAAAAAAAAAAAAAAAAAAAAAAGATGTGGCAGCCCCTTGAGAAAGGAAGAGCTCCTATCTTGACGATTTCAGCCAATGCCCGTGAGTACCAGCAGGAGCCTCTATCCCTCTCTGCCCCACCCTGCATCCACGCATTCATTACATCATTCATCCCCCCTCATTTTCTCAACACCCACTTGTGCCAGGCCCTGAGGTGGCTCTAGGACCGAGAGACAGGGATCACAGAGCTCCCCAGTGGAGTGGAGGGTACAGACATGTCGACAAGAACACTGGAACCCAGTGCGGGCTGGGAGCGTGCGGTCAGACCTGCAAAGCGGGGAAGAGAAGGGGGTCGGAGAAGCTTCGCGGGGAGAATGGGGTGAGGCCTGAGGCCTGTCTCGGAAAGCAGAGGGGCAGGTGGGAGAGTGGAAAAGACATTCCTGGAGGAGGGAACCAAAGGTGCTGAATGTGCAGAGGCAGAGATCCTGCGACAGGAGAGAAAGTCCTCGAGAATGACCCCAGCATAGGATGAGAACAAAGAAGGGGATCAAAGGAAACGGGCCCTCGGTGGCCGGGTGCTAGAAGGCTCTGAGTGTCAGGAGAGGGAGCGTGACCTCCCTCATGGGGTCAGTAGGGCCACTGTATGGCTTTAAGCCAGGGAAGGACAGGAGAGGTTTCTGTAACTGTGGCTGTAATGATGGAAGCGTCTGGAGGCGGAGAGGAGGCTCCTGCGACGACCCAGGCTTCAGAGAGAGAGAGAGAGAGGAAAGAAGGAAGGGCAGATAGGAAAGCTAGGAAAGATGCACAGAGAGACCAAGGCAGAAAAGGCTGAAGGGAAGACGGCAGTGGTAGGAAGGGGGCAGAGCCGTCTCAGGATGCAGCCAGCGGGCGAGGAGGCAGAGACCCGCTTGCCCGGTGCCTGGACTCACCAGCCGGTGCAGCCAGCCGGCGCCGGCGTGCGTGTCCTTGAGACGGAAGAGGCGGCGGTGCGCGGAGCTGCGGCCCACGTACCACAGCATCTGCAGCAGCATGAGCGCCGTCAGGAAGCACAGCAGGTCGCTCTTGCTCACGCCCGCGGCGTGCACGGCCCAGGCCAGCAGCAGCAGCAGCCCCGCCACGAACACGATCAGCCCATACTGGCTGCTCAGCATCTCGGCCAGCCTCTGTGGGACGCTGGCGCGCACACCGCCCCTCCGGGGGGCCGGGGACTCCGGGCACCTCGGGGCCGACGGCGAGGGAGGCGGGCAGGCCGCGGGCCCCGATGACCCCGCGACTGAGGCGCTCGCAGCTGCCCGGGGCCAGGCGGGCGACCCCAGGCCCTCAAGCATCTTCAAGACACCCGCGCCAAGTCTGGCCCCGGGGGTGGCTGCCGTCGGGCCCCGCCTGCGCTCCTGGCTCCTGTCCTTGCTCGGACGCCTCTGCCAACCAGCCCCCCCCTTTTCAACTCCCCTCCGATTCCTACCCCACGCCCCCGACAACCTGCCCCGTCTCCTGTCACTTCCCGACGCCCGCCCTCCCCTCTTCTGCCCCTTCGTCCTCAGTCAAGGTACCACCCTGTCCACTTACCCAGCGCCTCACCCCGCTGACCCGGGATTCTACGAGCTCCCTTGCCCACTGCCCCTCACTGGGCAACGCCCGGGGCAGCCATCTGTCCCCTCCGGGACCCACGCGGACCGCTCCCGGCTCCTGATCCCTGGGACACTGGCCAGCCCTGCCCCGACACTAGCGCGTCCTCCCGCACCTCTGCCCGCGCGCCCGGCCCCCGCCCACCGTCTGCAGCCCTCACCCCTACGCCGACGCCCACCCACCCAGCCCCTGTCCCGGCGCCTCAGAAACGCTGGGTGACGAGAGATGCCTCCCAGAGTCCCGGGGTTGCGGGGCTGGGGAGAGGGGGTCTTCCAGAGCCAGCCCGAAGTGGGGTGTGCGCGGGGGGCGTGGCTGCTGCCAAGTGGGGCGCACGGGGCTCCACAGGGGAGTGCGATGCTCCGGGCCTTCCCCGAGGGTCTCCGTTGGGGAACCCAGAGGTCCAGGTGATCCTGCCTGGGTCCGTGGCCGAGCGTCCGATGGTCTGTCCTTGTCCCTGCGTATTTCTGTATTGTCTTCTCTGTGCTGGTCACTCTGTGTCTGGCCGTCTGTTTTCGGGTGTGTCTGGTTAGGGGTGGAGGAGCGCCAGTCACTGGCTCTCTGAATTGGGGGAGGGGCCGCCTTCTGTGGGTTTTTCTGTTTGTCCATCTGGTGTGCCTGTGTGTCGGCTGCGAGACGCCCAGGCGCAGAATAAGACCTGAGCCACTTTCTAAGAAAAGAGACCATCCCGCACCCTCCCCCAAAGGAGCGGCAGCCATTCTGGACGCAGAGGAGCTGGAATGAGGGAGGCCCCAGGGTCTGCCCTGGGGCAACCGGCGCCCAAGCATCTCCACCAGCCCCTTCCAAAGCCCCGGTGCCTGCCTTGCACCTGCCTGCTCCCGGAAGGAGACTGCGTCTGCCAGGGCGCCCTGCTCGGGTGCCATTAAGTGGAGGTCTGGGAAGTTTCTGCAGAAGAGCGTTCTACCGGTCGGGCGTGGCTGACAGGAGGCGGTGGACCCCAGCCCCCCAGCTGCAGGTTGTAGAGGGGAGTTGGGAGCGAGCCTGGGGCGAGCCCCCATCCCACCATGCAGCAGCCCGGGGCTGGGCCCCGGAAGACACCCTCTCCCTCTTGGTTTAAGGCTCTTGCAGTCTTGAAATTCTTAATTTTTGAACAAGAGGGCCCAGGTTTTTGTTTTGCGCTAAGCGCGGCAAATTGCAATAGCAGGTCCTGACTAGTAAAGGAGGGGTGGGGAGTCCTGGGCCGGCAAGAAGTCAACCTGGGGGACCTTGCCTTGCCGCCATCATTCTTCCAATTCATGCATTCATTCATTTGATCAACACACATGTATGTGTTGACCTATGAATCATTTGCTGGTCTCTGTTGTAGGCGCTGGGGTTTCAGCTATGAAAGGCTCTGTTCAGGTGGAGCTGATGTTCAGGTAGAGAAACAGCAATAAACAAACAGCTAATGAGCCTTGACTGGGAAGCTGGGGAGCGTGACCTGTGAGACTTAGCCCTCAACTTCTAAGAGCTTGGGGGTGGGGACAGAGTAAGCAGCACAGCACCCTTGAGCAGGGCTACCACCAGGGGCCTGGGAGGAGCCCAGGTCTGCAGGAAGGCTGCGAGGTTCAGGGAGGAGGCAACACCTGCACAGTCTTCTTTCTTTCTTTATTTTATTTTTATCTTTTAATAAGGACAGGGCCTCCCTATGTCTCCCAGGCTGGAATGAAGTGGTGTGATAATAGCTCACTACAGCCTCGAACTCTGGGGCTCAAGTGCTCCTCCCACCTCAGCCTCCCAAATAGCTGGGACTACAGGTGTGTGCTACCACGCCTGGCTCAGTTTTTTAAAATTGTTTTTTGTAGAGACAGGGGTCTCGCTGTGTTGCTCAGGTTGATCTCAAACTCCTGGGCTCAAGGCATCCTCCTACCTCAGCCTCCCAAAGCACTGGGATTACAGGCTCCAGCTACCACGTCCAGCCTCCTGCACATTCTTTAGGCTTAGGAGTGGATGGCCAGGTGGAAGGGAGCAGGGGTCTGGAAAGGCAGTCCAGAGAGAGGATCCAGCAAACCTACTGGGAATCCTCCACCTTCTCCCCTCCTCTTCCTACCAACAGCCAGAGCAACCTGGGAGGCTGAGCTGAAGATGGAAGAGCCTGTCTGCGTGTCTCCCCAGTGACTAGTGAGGTGGCTTTTCCTCCCGAAGCTGGACCTTACATCAGTGAGAAATAAACTTCCATTGTGCTAAGCCACCAAAGTCTGAAATGTTACAGCAGCTAGCAGTACCTTAACCCATTGAGTACAAAGATAAATAACACTCAGTCACTATCTGAAAATCAAGTGGAATGCCTGTCTCTGGGCTACCTGCACTTTTGTTTGTTTGTTTGTTTGTTTGTTTGTTTGTTTGTTTTTGAGATGCAGTCTCACTCTGTTACCCAGGCTGGAGTGCAGTGGCACAATCATCTCAGCTCACTGTAACCTCTGCCTCCTGAGTTCAAGCGATTCTCCTGCCTCAGCCTCCCGAGTAGCTGGGATTACAGGCGCCTGCCACCATGCCTGGCTAATTTCTGTATTTTTAGTAGAGATGTGGTTTCACCATGTTGGTTAGGCTGGTCTCAACTCCTGACCTGGTGATCCACCCCTTGGCCTCCCAAAGTGCTGGGATTACAGGCATGAGCCACCACACCTGGCCTGCATTTTTTTAAGAAGCAATGAAATGAAAGTTTCTGGAGGCTAAAGTCAGCCCCCTTTATTGTAATCTCAAGACAATGTTAAAACTCACTGAGAGCCTGTAATCCCAGCACTTTGGGAGGTCGAGGCAGATCACTTGAGGTCAGGAGTTCGAGACTAGCCTGGCCAACATGGTGAAACCCCGTCTCTACTAAAAATACAAAAAATAGCTGGTGTGGTGGTGCACACCTGTAATCCCAGCTACTTGGGAGGCTGAGGCAGGAGAATCTCTTGAACCCAGGAGGCAGAGGTTGCAGTGAGCCAAGATTGTGCCACCGGACTCCAACCTGGATGACAGAGACTCCATCTCAATAAATACATAAATAAAACTGAGAGATTTACCCACACTGTGTTCTGCCTTCCACCAGTGAGATTTTTTTCAAAAGTCTGAGCCACACGGGGCCCCCAATTTCTTACGACTGACCCCTGCTCCATGATGGGCAGATACAAGGGGTCAGAGATGGTGCTCTGGTGGTGCCCAGGCCTGCTGTTTTCACCACATTTGGTGCATGTTACCC
The DNA here is from genome assembly GCF_000001405.40 of Homo sapiens. Lineage (NCBI taxonomy): Eukaryota > Metazoa > Chordata > Mammalia > Primates > Hominidae > Homo > Homo sapiens. The sequence continues at coordinate 128,997 of NT_187367.1, read as the reverse complement.
CTGCCCACACTGTGTCCTGAGAACTGTGTGGCATGGCTCAATCAGTGTAAAAGCTGGAAACGTCCTGACCAGGCAGCTGCTTCCCAGTGATGATTCAGTACCACGCAGATGGACAGGGAGGCATGGTGCCCTCGGGCATGGGCTCCCTTCCTTTTTTTCTTTTTTTTTTTTTTTAATATTTTAAGTTCTAGGGTACATGTGCACAACATGCGGGTTTGTTACATATGTATATATGTGCCATGGTGGTGTGCTGCACCCATTAATTCGTCATCTACATTAGGTATTTCTTTTAATGCTATCCCTCCCCCCTCCCCCCACCCCATGACAGGCCCCGGTGTGTGATGTTCCCCATCCTGTGTCCAAGTGTTCTCATTGTTCAATTCCCACCTATGAGTGAGAACATGCAGTGTTTGGTTTTCTGTCCTTGCGATAGTTTGCTCAGAATTATGGTTTCCAGTTTCATCCATGTCCCTACAAACGACATGAACTCATCCTTTTTATGGCTGCATAGTATTCCATGGTGTACATGTGCCATATTTTCTTAATCCAGTCTATCATTGATGGACATTTGGGTTGGTTCCAAGTCTTTGCTATTGTGAATAGTGCCGCCATAATCATACATGTGTATGTGTCTTTATAGTAGAATGATTTATAGTCCTTTGGGCATATACCCAGTAATGGGATCGCTGGGTCAAATGGTATTTCTAGTTCTAGATCCTTGAGGAATCACCACACGGTTTTCGACAATGGTTGAACTAGTTTACACTCCCACCAACAGTGTAAAAGCATTCCTATTTCTCCACATCCTCTCCAGCACCTGTTGTTTCCTTTTTAATGATCACATGAGCTCCCTTCTTCCAGTGAAGTTGACAGGATTTCACAAGGCCAGAGGCCCACTGGCACTCTCAACTACCAGAGATAATAGAAGGTCCCAAGGGGCAATTAGCACATTTTGCCCCCAGTCACCTTTGGTGGTAGCTATGTAATCCCAGTATTTTTAAGAACAAAAGAGTTAGACAGTGTATTCACTTCTTCTTTTTTTTTTTTTTTTTTTTTTTTTTGAGACAGAATCTTACTCTATCACCCAGGCGGGAGTGCAGTGGTGTGATCTTGGCTCACTGCAACCTCTGTCTCCTGGGTTCCAGTGATTCTCCTGATTCAGTCTCCCGAGTAGCTGGGATTACAGGCACACACCACCATGCCTGGATAATTTTTTGTATTGTTAGTAGAGATGGGATTTCACCATGTTGGCCAGGTTGGTCTTGAGCTCCTGACCTCATGATCCACCCACCTCGGCCTCCCAAAGTGCTGGGATTACAGGCATGAGTCACTGTGCACAGCCAAGTGGGTGGGTCTAACAAAGTGCCACTGACGGGGTGGCTTCAAAACAATGAAAATTTATTCTCTCACAGTTTGGGAGGCCAGAAGTCCAAAATCTAGACGTCAGAAGAGCCAAGTTCCCTCTGAAGGCTCCAATGGGGGGTCATCGCCAGCCTCTTCCAGTTTCTGCTGGTTGCTGGCAACCCCTAGCATTCCTTGGCTTGTGGCTGTATCACTCCAATCTTTGCCTCTGTTGTGACTTGACCATCTTTCCTTTGTATCTGTGTCTCTTTTCCTCTTCTTATAAAGACACCAGTCATAATGGGTTAAGGGCCCAACCTACTCCAGTATGACTTCATTGTAATTTACATCTTAATTAAATCTACAAAGACTCCATTTCCAAATAGGGCCACAATCAGAGGAACCAGGGGTTAAGATTTCAACAGATCTTCTGGTGAGCAAAAATTTAATCTATAACACACAAATGATAGTCAAGATATGGAATTAACCTGTGCATCCATCAATGGATGAATGAACGGACAAAGAAAATGTGTGTATGTATACACATTGTATACATACACAACAGAATATTATTCAACCTTAAAAAGAAGGAAATGGCCGGGCACAATGGCTCACGCTTGTAAACCCAACACTTTGGGAGGCCATGGTGGGTGGACTGCTTGTGCCCAGGAGTTCAAGACCAACTGGGCAACATGGCAAAACCTCAACTCTACAAAAAAATAAAAATAAAAATAAAAAGGCTGAGTGTGGTGGCTCATGCCTGTAATCCCAGCACTTTGGGAGGCTGAGGCAGGTGGATCACCTGAGGTCAGGAATTTGAGACCAGCCTGACCAACATGGAGAAACCCCTTCTCTACTAAAAATGCCTGTAATCTCAACTACTCAGGAGGCTGAGGCAGGATAATCACTTGAACCCAGGAGGCAGAGGTTGTGGGTGAGACAAGATCACACCATTGCACTCCAGCCTGGGCAACAAGAGTGAAACTCTCTCTCAAAAAAAAAAAAAAATTAGCTAAACCCAGTGGTGTGCACCTGTAGTCCCAGCTACTTGGGAGGCTGAGGTAGGAGGATCATTTGAGCCTGGGAAGTCCAGGTTTCAGTGAGCTGAGATTGTGCCACTGCACTCCAGCCTTGGTGACAGAGCCAGACCCTGTCTCAAAAAAGAAAAAAAAAAGGAAATCCTGACATTTGTAACAGTATGGATATGAACCTGGAAGATACTATGTTAAGTGACATAAGCCAAGCACAGAAAGACAAATGTCACATGATCTCATTTATATGTAGATCTAAAAAAGCTGAGGTCATATAGGTAGAGAGTAGAAGAGTGGCTACCAGGGGCTGGGCAGCAGGTGGAATTTGTGGGTTGGGAGATGTTGGTCAAAGGGTACAAAATTTCATTTAAGTAAGAAGAGTAAGTTCAAGAGATCTATTGTACAGCTTAGTAATTATAGTTAATAACAATTTATAGCATTTTAAAAATTGTGAAGAGTAGATTTTAAGAAATCTCACCACAAAAAATAAGTATGCAAAGTAATGCATATATTAATGAACTCCATCTAGCCATTCCACATGTACCCTTGGACTTCAAAACTTGGAAAAAATGAATTGAAAATATAAACTTTATGTCTCAACATAAACTCCATCAAGTTCAAGACACTTCTATAAGTCATGCTACAGCCATTTAGCCCATCCCTAAGGAACTGAAGGTCCTGAGAATTTAACCATATCAATGCAGTCTTTTACACATTAACTGAAAAGGGTATCCTTTACAGATTAAAATTACGAAACAAAAAGAAGTTAGGAGGAGTCAAATCAGGACTGTAATGATTTCCCATCAAAATTCTCCCAAAATTGCCCTTGATGACAGGAATAACCAGAAGCATTGTCATGGTGGAGGAGGACTCTGCTGAAATTTTCCCAAGAATTTTCTGCTAAAGCTTTGGGTAACTTTCTCAAAACCCTCTCATAATAAGCAGATGTTACCATTCTTTGGTCCTCCTGAAAGTCAACAAGGAAAGTGCCTTGAGCCCCAAAATACTGTTGCTATGAGTTGTGCTCTTGACTGGTCTGCTTTTGCTTTGACTGACCCACTTCCACTTCTTGGTAGCCATTGCTTTGATTGTGCTTTGTCTTCAGGATAGTACTACGAAATCCATGTTTCATAACTTGTTGCAACTTTTCGAACAAATGCTTCAGGATCTTGATCCCACTGTTTAAATTTCCATTGAAAGCTCTGCTGTTGTTTGCAACTGATCTGGGCACAACAGTTTTGGCACCCATCAAGTGCAAAGTTGGCTTTCAGTCAGAATTGTGTAACCTGAACCAATTTGACGTCTATGACACTGTCTATTGTTTCTGCTATTGTTAACTGCTATTAATCATCAGTCCTCTTTGATTAGGGCATAAACAAGATGAATTTTTTCCTCAAAGATTCGTGTGTAGGGTCTCTTACTGAGGGCTTCCTCTTCAACATCATCTCATACCTTCTTAAAACAAGTTATTCATTTGTAAGCTGTTGATTTCTTTGGGGCATTGTTCCCATAAACTTTTCATGAAGCATTAGTGATTTTACCATTTTTCACCCAAGCTTCATAATAAATTGATGTTTGTTCTTGCTTCGATTTTAGCAGAATTAATGTGGTCTCTTTTCAAACTGATGTCTTATCCTTCTTAGTGTCTCAAACTAGATCCTGTTCAGACATGTTATGACAAGTTAAAGACTCTGTCTCAAAAAGTCTTTTTTTAAGTAATAGGACAATCTTCATACCATCCTAATTGGCCAGTTATTAGCTCTTGGGAAACTGGGTTTTAACTAATTGTTTTAAACACATGCCAGCCTTAGATTTCTATCCATGTTGTAAACATACTCTTCAAGAAAAAAAAAAAAAGATATAAAATGTGTGAAGGCTGACACTGGGGCACTCTCCACCCAAGCTCCCTCCAGGGAGTGTGATCCAAATGTCCTCCCTTCCCGGGCTGCTGCCTCGGTTGTGCCGGACCCTCACATCACTGCCTGATTGATTCATCACTGCCTGATTCGGCTGCCTGATTGTGGCCTTTGCCTGGCCTTGCTCCCTATTTTAAATGACACTCTCGCCACACCTTCACATACCCATGACAACAAACTGGGTTTACTTCTGTCTACTCATCATGCCTGACTTTCCCCTTTGCAAACATCATGACGGGATGTGATATTCCTGATCCTAGATTCTGCTTTCCCTTTCTTTCCCTCTCCATTACCATTTATTGAGTGGACACCTACTGTGTCAGGCACTGTAATTGGTGTTTTACAAACATTATTACTATTACCCACAACCCTACAAGACAGATATTGTTCCCACTTCACAGCTGAAAAAAGATTACAGGCTGACTACCCCTTCTCTGAAATGCTTGGGACCAGAAGTGTTTTGGATTTTGGAATACTTGCATTGTATTCCAAAACCCGAAATGCTCCAATGAGCATTTCCTTTGAGTGCCATATCAGCAATCAAAAAGTTTCAGATTTTGAAATTAGGGATACTAAACCTGTACTACTGAAGGTCTTGAAGCTAGTAAATGGCAGGGTATGATCTGAACCAGACACAAGTGGTGATTAAGTCAAATCATTACTAGAAGTCACCTTACAGAGAAAACAATCAACATGAGGTACATTCTGTCACAATGCTTATGCTGTTTAGATTTAATGTAGATATATTTGCATTTGAAAGTGCAAATACTGTCTTTATAAAGTCTTTGAAGAACAGAGTTAGCCCTTGTTATTTCTATGGTTAATTCAAAGTGCTAATAGCTAAAAACCAGAAGTCATTCCAAAGTTTGCATGAACAAAACTCACAAGAAAGTTATAAAAATATTTTATTTAAATGGTACAGAAAAAAATATGTATACTTAAAAATGATTAAAACTTCACATTAGGAAATGCTAAAAACCCAGTAATTTACACAATGATAAAATCTAAAGTGACGGGAAAACATAAAATATTTTCATTTGGTCCTGTCACCTAACAAAACGATCATAAATATGAGATTATAGTAATTACTAAAGCTGGTTAAAGGCACATGACAACGTAATTCCTTTATACATATCCAGTCATTTTATACAAGGAACTGCTATCCCTTAAATGGAAGAGTGAACTATTTGTTTAAAATATTAAGAGTGCATCATGTACCTATAATGAAACCACTTTCTCCAAAGACTCAAACAGATTAACATTGCAAAATAGTATTTCTGTATCACTGACTTCTGAAAATTTTAATAATTTAAGAATATGCAAGTGAAATATAATTTATTCTGGTTTCAAAAATAGTTATACAAAGTCACAATTTTCCCCAGGAAACCATTCACTTCATAGCTGCAAAAACACACTGTAGCTTTTCTGTTAGGGTCTGTCATGCTTTCAGCTAGCTGGATGTTTAACCATTCACTTCAAATTTACGTGTCCAGCCATGCACGGTGGCGTGGGCCTGTAGTCCCAACTACTTTGAAGGCTGAGGCAGGAGGATCACTTGATCCCAGGAGTTCAAAGCCAGCCTGGGCAACATAGAAGACCCTATCTCTTAAAAAAAAAAAGTATATATCCTTAAATCTGAAAGAAAACCAGCATTTATGTAACAAGTAAAACATTCTATCTTAAGCTATTGCATTTAACACTAAAAAGCATAGTTCACTCTGTGATCTACAACGTTGTCTGAGTCTCCATTACAATTGTAAATTCATGTCAGGGTAAGAGCTCCCAAACATCTGTAAAAACTCAAAATTCAAGAGTCAAAGAAGGGGCTGAGCACATGAGAAGGGGAGAGATGGGTGACAGGGTCAGGTGAGGAAGTGTTCTGAGATGTGTAGGATTCCTCCGGGCCCAAAGCAGCTTGTGGCACCACATGCATACAGGAACGAAGGGCCTCCTGTGAGGGCTCCCAGTGGTTCCAAGACACAGCAAGGTGCCTGAAAGAGGCTGGAGACATTGGCGTGGGCATGGAGGTGCTAGCAACTATTTTCAGACTGCTAACAATGAGACTGTGTCCATTTCTTCTTTGTACAGTTACCATTGACCTTCCTTTAAAATCCCACAGGGAGAACATGCTGTTTTTAGCAGAAATGTCAGTTTTCATTAACTCCTTGAAAATTTAGTGTATTAACTTTCATTTCCATGAGCTTCAATTTCCACACCTGTCAACTGCTGTATAAAGCAGGTTTCCTGCAAGTTCTGATGTAAGTGACCTGACAGGAGGCACTATCTTTGTCCTTCTCAACATGCCTCTAAGCATCTGGAGTGAGTATTCTCAATATGCACTTATTTAATAACAGAGTTATCCGACACTCAGAAAACAGCCTCCACTGTGTAAGGCAGCAGATCTCAGGATGGGGTGATCTGTAGGGAGGCAGAAATTCTATAAATAACACCAAACAAAAGCTGATTGTGTCATCCAACACATTTTTATGAGGAAGTCAGAATAATTAGAAGATGGTAGAATTTTTTTTCCCAGTTGGGTAAAATTGTCCATTCTTCCTGTATTCCCATTTCTTAAGAATGATCTAGCCAACAGTCATTGAATATAAGCTGACACAAATTAATATAATTTCAACATAAAATGGTCTAATGTGTGAATTTAACTATATTGGAAGGTACAAATCCTGTCTTTATGAGGTCTTTGAAAGGCAGGGTACCTTCTCTAAAAAGTAGTCACTTAGAACCAACTTTTACAAAAGAAAGAGTCTCAGCCCCCAACCCCTGCCAGCCTGGGCAAAATAAGGAGACTCTGTTTCTACAAAAAAAATTTTAAAAATTAGCCAAGCGTGGTAGCACATGTTTGTAATACCAGCTCCTTGGGAAGCTAAGGTGGGAGGATCGCTTGAGCCCCCAGGTGATCAAGGCTGCAGTGAGCGGTGATCATGCCACTGTACTCCAGCCTGGACAACAGAGTGAGACACTGTCTCAAAAAAAAAGGAGTCTATCTCAGAGTTCAACGAATGGATAATTCTAGTGTGGACAACTCTGGTGTAAACATGACTGAAAATAATTCACAAATAGTCTGTTACAGCTCCATCCACTGAAAATTGTCATAAAAGACATTTTTCAAATGAGTTCATTTTTAGAAAAACCATTCCAGATATCTTACCTTCGGAAATCATCCAAGGAGTGTGATAAACATTATAACCCCCATAAACTGGGTAAACAACAACAATGGAGTGAAAAACGACCACACATGCCATAAAGCAATGTTGAAGCTGAAAAGAACAAGACATAAACAGTTGACAACTCAAATATGCATCAATATATTTTATTCTAGAATCCAGATTTAAAGTATTCAATGTAGAAAAGTTCATCCAGTCAGCAACCTTCTCCATGTATCATATTTCTCAGCTATGTGACTTAGCCAATGCTGGAAAGAAAACTCTAGATATACTTACACAAGTATCACAATTTCTTCAAGAAGGCCCTGGAACTGGAACCACTAAAGGTCTCCTAATAGGAGTTGACATGGCTTAATAGAAACTGCAGTCTCTTAGTTTCTGCACTTGAACAAGAATTTAAATGGCTACAGCCCATTTTTATGACATCACACACTAAACTATGGTAAAAAAGACCAAAGTATTTTCTCTTAAAAACAGAATGAAAACAGTTATCACTTATAAGCTGCTATTATATATTTCATTGAGAAGAACACTATTCCTGTCATCAAAGTAAAATTAAAACACTTTCTAAGTGTAAAGATTGTTAATGACTGAAATTTCTAAGAACAGAATAGGAAAAACTATATTCAAATAAGTTCAGATGGTTATTGGTTTTAACATACAATATTTTGATAAGTATGAGTATTAAATAACTATAATCACACTGTCTAAAAAATTAATATTTCTGGAGATGATCTTAGCCTTATGGGAAAAAGTAAAAAAACATATCTGTATGCCCCCACATACAGGTTAACAATAACCACATCACACTGTCAAACACCCTTGAACTTCAACTACAGAAAATAAGTCATAGAAAGAATATGTATAAAGGTATATGGTTCTTCCAAAATAAAAATTCAATTAGGCCGGGGGTGGTGGTGCATGCCTGTAATCCAGCACTTTGGGAGGCCAACACAAGCAGATGGCTTGAGGCCAGGAGTTTGAGACCTGCCTGAGCAGCATGGCGAAACCCCATCTATACAAAAAATATTAAAAATAGCCAGATGTGGTGGCACATGCCTGTGGTCCCAACTACTCGGGAGGCTGAGTGAGGTAGGAGGATCACTTAAGCCTGGGAAGTCGAGGCTTCAGTGAGCTGTGATCATGCCACTGCACTCCGGCCTGGGTGACACAGTGAGACCCTGTCTCCAAAAAAAAAAAAAAAAAAAAAAAAAAATCCAATTGATATAAAGAAAGAAAAAACTAGAGCGCTACGCACAACATAGGAAAAGTAGTTTTCTTTCTGGTTGGATCAGAGGATATATTTCCTTTGTGTTTTTCTGTAATTTACAGATTTTTTTTCCTCAGTGAGCAAGTATTACTTTTATAAACTGAAAAAAAACCTGTATTTTTCATCGAGTATTTAATTAACTTATGAAGAAGGTTATTCATTGTGGCATTGTTTGAGTATAAATATAACGAAGTCCAACAACAGAAGACAGGTTAAATAAATCATGTTATGTCCATGCTGTGAAAACTATGCAACTGTTTAAAAAAATGAGACACATCTATATGTACCATTATGGAAGAATCCCAAACTATAAGGATCCACTGAAAAACAAAAGGAAAAAAAGATGAACAACCACTTTGGAAAGCAGTTTGGCATGATTTACTGAAGTCAAAGGTATGTACATCCAACAATTTTACCCCTTGGGGTGTATATATATATATATATATATATATATATACACACACACACACACACACATATACGTACATCTCTACACCCAACAGAAATGTGTTCACTGTGCTACAAGAGCCATGTACAAGAATGCTCTTTATAGCATCCTTCATAGTAACCCCAAACTGAAAAAAATCTAAACACAACCAACAGTGGAAAAGAAAACTGGGATTCAATTAAACAATGGAATGCTAAAGAGCAATGAAGATGAGTCACTGTTCCCGGCTACAATATGAAACAACTGCACACAATGCTGCACACAGCCAGCTCAATGTGAAGGAATACACCCTGTATGAATCCATTTCTATAAAGTTCAAAAGCACAGCTGAAACAAAAATAGAATATCTAATGGAAGCAAAGCAAGTAGTTACCATGAAGGTCAGGGCAGTATTTACCTGTGGCAGGAGGGATGGTGCAGTAACTGGGAGGGAGAATGAAGGGGGTTCCCAATGTACTGGCTCAGTTTACACCAATGCTCACTTCATGAAAATTCATTCATTTCAGTTTTTTCCACTTTTCTATATGTATTGTACGTCATAATAAAATAGACTTAAAAAGCAAAATGCAGAATATGTACAGAATGTCACCATCTGTGCTTTAAATAACTAGATCCATAAATAGAAGGAGAAAGAGATACTAATGAAAAGGGAACCAGAGAGCATGAATGACCAGGAGACTATTTTTCTGTTTTAACTTTTTTACTTTCGAAGTTTGGACCAAGTATATCACTATCTGATCAGGAGGTGGGGGGCGTTGTCAGCCCAAGCAGCTGCCACCGTGAGCAGTGGACACAGGACCAGCTTCTGGGGATGATCCTGTCCTCTCCTAGCACAGCCCCGTGCACGGACAGGGCATCCATGCCATCCGTGTCACCCAGGGCAGGTCACTAAGCCTCCCGCAGCCCATTTCCCCGAGTCGCCCAGGCGCGGTGGAGCACATGCAGCACAGTTGTTTTAGGAATTGGGTGACTCACTGAGCTCCTGACAAGTAGTAGGCTCGGCACGTGGCTGTGGCACTTTTTTCTAACTGCCTGGGTTCCATCTCAACTCCCAGAGAGTGAACATCCCGCCTCTCATCTCAGGACTGGTGCTCTCCGAAGCATTAAGTAGGAAATTGAGAGTAGTAGCAAGTGAGACTTAGGGGGCAGGTAGGCAGAAATCAGTGATGGCATAGCCGCGCCACCATGACCATCCTGGCCATTGTCTCCTGTGTCTCCTGCTCCTCGAGGTCTTCAAAGTCTCATGCTGCCTTCTCCAGCAGCTGCTCTCTGTGATGGGAGGGTGGGCACAGGGTGGGTTTGTGGGTGATTCTGCTGAAGCCAGGGAGATGACGTCTGTCCAAGGACCCTCAGCCTGGAGCCCAGGCTCCAGGAAGCTCTGTGGGGGACAGCTGACGTCACTGGGCATCTCCTTTCTGTCTGCTCTGCTCACAGAAACCTGCAGGACACTGCCCATAAGGTGAAGTGAGCAAAGAGGCCAGGCCAGTCCTTCCCAGCCCCATGGAAGCCAGTTCAGCAGGACCCTACATGGATGGGCTTCTGCAACTGTGAGCAAAGGGGGCCCATCAGGCTGTGCCCAGCCCCTAGGACACACAAGGGAAGGGCTTCTTCCCAATACCTGCCACCTGCTGCCTCTGCACAGCCGTGGTGTGCACACTGCTGCAGGGAGCAGGCACCCTCATCCCTGTGGCCCATCTCCCCCTTCTTGTCCTCATTCTGAGGCCATAGAAAACTGGCCTGCAGCATCCTCACCCTCAACCTTGCCCTGCTGGGAAAACTTAGGCCCTCAACTAAACTCGGGCCCCTGGACGCACTCGCTCGGCCGCAGTTCTCAATCTTCCCTCTGCCTGGAAGGCCCTGTCGTGTGTTTCACACTTGCTAAGCAGAGTCCCCTCTGAACTCAGCCCCCTGGATCCAGCCCAGCCCTCCTGGATCCACTTGCCAGAGCAGCCCCGGACCCCGCCAGCCCCTCCCACTGACTCCAGTGCAGGTCAGTGAAGGTGACTATGACAGCTCTGGTAATCCTGGAAGAACCCCCAGGATTGAACACAGCTCTTGGGCTCTGATTACAGCCAATTACCATAATGGAGAGAATATCTGGATTCTCCCCTAATTTCCTCTCCTCTTAAAATTTTCAATTAAGAGCCTAATCTTGATGGAAAATGGCTGCTTTCTGGAGTATTCTCCGCAGTGCTGATTCCTCATTGCTAAGTGCTTTTTCTAGACAGATAGAGGCTCTCGATGATTCCAGATAAAATCAGAGCAAAGGAGCTTACCCAAAGAAAGGAGGAGAGCAGAGCAGCAATAGGCTATGCCCCGGAGCCCTCCCCACTGCTGGAGACACCAGGTGGGTGAGGGGTCTCTTGGGCCCTTCCAGCCTGCAGAGCTGCTGAGAGTCAGGCCTGGCTGCCAACAAAGCAGCTGAAGTCTTGAGAAAACTTCCTGATTGCATTAGCGAGGTTGCAACACCAGGACATAATCAAATCTCCCTGGAGGACGTGGCTTCAGGAAGGGCTGCTACAAGCCAGTGGCAGAACAAGGGCAACCAGGGTCAGACACGGTGGAAGGAGGGAAGTCCCAGAGCCGAGCATGGGTGGACATCAGAGGGGTGTGGGCTGCACCATCTGGGTGCAGGGGCCAGCAGGCAGTGCGGGTCCACCCAGCCCAGGGCCAGCCTTTCCCAGCAGTCGCGTGCAGAAACCTGGCACACGTCATGGGGCAGCGGTCCCATATCATAGGCCCTCCTGGTGTTAGCAGTCAGGAGGGTGCCTAGAAAAGCCTCCCACAGCCACAGGGACAGCAGGATCTGAGCCCACCCTCCACACCAGAAGCCTGCCCAGCACCGTAGGCAGGGCCCGGGTGCCCTGCTCAGGAATGAGCTCTGCTTCCAGCTTGGCCATCCTAGTTCCACCCTGTCTGTAACTTAGCCGACCAGGAAGATGGCTGTGATGACCACAGAAAATCCTGACACAGAGCTGGCATGAAGGAGCTGTGCCTGTGGGAGCTTCAGAGTCCTCAGGCCAGGCTGGCCCTGGCTCTGCCACCTCTTGGCTGGAATGCCTTCAGGCACCTACTGAGCCTCTCAGGGGCTCAGCATCCTCATCTGTGGGACACGGATAATAATAGGGTTGTTTTGAGAGTAAAAGCACAAAACACAGAGCCTGGCTGGAGAAAGCACAGGTAGCTGAAGTCAGCCAAGGCTGAGTTAAGTGTTCTTCTTAGAAAAGCGGACAGGCCATTCCCTGAAGGCATCAGTGCGGGCAGGAGGGAACCTGCACTTTGCAGTTCCAACACCTCAGGACACAATTCCTGCTAACCTGACCCACAAAAGACCAAAGGACACACCCAAGATCCTGGACCAACGTCCCACAAGGATGCCTTCCTGGTTTCTTCTCTAAGAATACGTCTTAAAATGTTCCCCAGGAAGCTAACTCTATATTCCTAATGTATGGACCATGGAAAGAAAACAAGTGTCTCAGTAGGTTTGTTCAACAAATGTGCAAATGCAGAGACGAACAAAGATGCCCAAAGTCAAGGAGCAGCTCAGTCGCCTCCGACATGCTCGGGGGCCACAACCACCTCCAACCTCTGCCCTGTTCACACTTTCCTCCACCCAGATTCCCCTCTTGCCCTGGCACTCCAGGAATTGTTTGATGTCCTGGAAGCTCCCTTTCTCTGTTCCACAGCCCCTGAGGCTGGTACCTCCCTGCATGCGTGTCCACCTCACCCACTGAGTTCCAGGAGCAGGCGTGTATCCTGCTCGCCCTGACTCAGCAGGGAGGGCTGAGCTCTGGAGCCTGAGTGCACCCAGACCTGCCCCATGGCCTCCTGTGCCTCTGTGTCCTCCTCACCCTCGACTCACCAAGGAGCCCTGAGGACGTGAGAACTGGAACATGCCCAAGACCCACATCGGGGCCTGGCACACACCAAGCGCCTAGTGAACGCTTGATGACTGAGGACAGCATCGCTTCTTCTAAGAGGGAAAAAAAGGAAAGTCAACCAGAGACAATTTGTAAAAGATGGCTTTTGACTGAGGCCTTGAAGGATGGGCAAGGATGGGCAAGGGGAGGGGGGACTCAAAGTGCAGGATGAGAAGGCTCTAGGTGCCTGAGTGCCTGTGCATGTGAGCATGCATGTGCATGTGTGTGCATGTGTGTGTGCATGAGACTTGCAGCCTTGCATGTGTGCGTGCATATGCATATGTGTGTTCATATGCGCATGCATGTGTGTGTGCCCTAGTCCAGACAGGGTTCTGAGTGCACTGTGGGGGACAGATGATTTCACACTCCGCCCTGAGTCTGAAATCAGTGGGACAGATGACCTTGAAGAAGGCCTTATGGCTCACTTAGTGTGAGCCAGACTCCATAGAGACAGTGACGGCAGGACACATGCATGGGGGTCCACCTTCCCAGAGCTGGAGCCCACATAGCTCCAGGACCTCAAGGGAAGCCCAGGGTCTGAGGGGCCCAGGAGGCCCATCCATGTGATGGACCCAAGGAGACTTTGGTGGCTTCTCTGTTAAGATTTGAAGGGGGCCAGGTGTGGTGGCTCACGCCTGTAATCCTAGCACTTTGGGAGGCTGCAGCAGGGGGATCACGAGGTCAGGAGTTCAAGACCAGCCTGGCCAACATAGTGAAACCTCATCTCTACTAAAAATACAAAAATAAAAATAAAAAATTAGCCGGGTGTGGTGGTGGGTGCCTGTAGTCCCAGCAGTTTGGGAGGCTGAGGCAGGAGAATCGCTTGAACCCAGGAGGCAGAGATTGCAGTGAGCTGAGATTGTACCACTGCACTGCAGCCTGGGAGACAGAGCAGGACTCTGTCTCAAAAAAAAAAAAAAAAAAAAAGATTTGAAGGGAGCCCAGGGGGCAGGACTGGGTGGGCACAGGATGGAGACAGTGACACCCTTGGTCTTGGGTGGCCCCTGCCAGCCCCAGCATATCCTCAGCAGATAGGGTGACAACAGCGCCTCTACCTCTAGTGGGAGGCGCAAGAGAAATTCACGCGATGCACTTGCCTGGGCTTGGTGAGTGGAAAGCTCCCCACTGACTCGAGGGCTGGTGGTGAGGATGGAGAGGGAGGTGGAGATGGAGGCGACAGCATGGGCAGAGCAAGAGCACAGCCGTGGAAGGGAGGTCCTCCCAGCTAGCCTTTGGGAGGCCCATGGCCAGTCTCGGGGCAGGAGGAAAGAATGTGAACCAAAAGCGGAACGTCCAGCCAGGGGAGGCCCCAGCAATGACTGTATCAGGGCTGAGTGTGATCACAGGAAAAGTCACCTAAGGACTGAAATCCAGTGGAGTCAAGACTACATGGAAGCCTATCTCTCCATGATGGCAACTTTGGAAGAACGTGTGACCTTGTGGAAGTGCACAGAAGGCACTGCTGGCCTGAATGGGTCCTCGGGCTGCGGTCTCGGGGCCGGCTTCTCTCCCTTCCCCAGACCTGCTGTGGCTCCATCCCCTCTCTCCTGCATCCTGGGATTGCCTCCAATTAACTACCTGCTTACAAGCCTTTTCTTTATTTTCTTTTTGCCTTCTTTTCTTTACATGTAAAACATGAGTCCATCTGGAGCTTATTTTAAAGCACAGTATGAGGACTGACATTGACCTGTTTTTTTAAATGAAATAACTAGTTGTCCCAACCCTGCTTGTTGGATAACACTGCTCTGTTTCAGGAGTACCCCCACTGTCATACACCCGTGGGTCCATACCCCTGGGCTCTCCATCTGGGCACTCCCCTGCCTGTGGCACCTCCTTCCTGAGGGCCGGCCTCACCCAGGGCCCAGCTGCCCTCTCCATGGCCTGTGTCTTCCTTTCCTGATGCCTCAGATTTCCCCCATTCTCTGGCACTCTTTCCATCCTCCTGGCCTCACTCTGCACCTCCCCTGAGGTGCAGGACTGCCCTGCCCCAGCCCCCAGCTTCCTCACTCCCAAAGCCTTGTGCCACTGAAGCACGAGCTCCAGAGTGCACCTGGATGGCAGCTTCTCTCCTGGCCAACAAACGCCTGGTGCTGGCTGCCCTCCCAGCATCTCCCCTCAACTCCTCAGCTCCACCCCAGGGCCTTCACACACACATGCATAGCACACACACATACAAACATATGCACAGACATGCACACAAATGTACATACGGACTTACACAGACACACACAAATGTGCACACATTCGTGCATACACAGATGTGTTCATGCAAACACACACGTGCACGCTCACGGGCACGTACACATGTGTAGGTTATGCTAAGAAATCCATTTTGTGTAGAAGACACTCAGGCTCAAGTATGTGTCCAAAGTCACACAGCTATGGAGCGGCAGAACTCAGGTCTCTAGCGCACACAGCCCCGACTTACCGCAGTTCCACTTAACAGTTTTCAACTTTATAGTGATGCAAAAGCCATCCACAGTCAGCAGAAACCCTCGTGTGAGTCCCACACGGCCAGTTTTTCACTTTCAGTACAGCAGTCAATGATTACATGAGGTATCCGACACTTGACTACAAAACAGGCTTCGTGTTGATGCTTCTGCCCACCGCAGGCTCAGGGCAGTGTTCTCAGCAGGCCAAGGTGGGCCCCCCCACGCTGTGCTATTCGGTAGTCAGGTGGACTCAGTCATTTTCCACTCGCAGCGGCCTTATTGGGCCGCAGCCAGGGGTAAGTTGAGCAGTGTCTGTACTTTTAGCTCCACCCTGGGTATTTTTAAGTGGCAGATTTACAACAAAAAATAAAAATAAAAATGAAAAAATACAGCGTTCCAAATAGTAGGGGCATAAAAGGAGAGAATGCACGTTGTGGACAGCCCATGCCTGGGAGCATAAGCACTTCAGGGGCATCACCAGGCGTGACTGGCTATTGTTCCTGCTCTTCCTGGCAGCAGCGGCCTGGGCCTGAGAGGGATCGCCCTGGACACAGCTGTAGGCAAGGCTGCTGGGAGCCGCCACGCTCCGCGATAGCGAGTCTGCGGCGCCACCTCGTGGGTGCTGCGTGGAACTCCCCGTGGTGCGGGCGGGGAAGGCCGGGTCCCCACAAAGCCGGAGCCCGAGCACAGCGGTGGGAGCTCGCCCCAGGGCATCCCATAGCACCCGGAGACGGGGGCTGGTCCCCCAAAACCCTCAGGGGTGAGAGGAAGGAGGTCCCCAGCCTGCTGAGAGCTGTCCTCTGAGCACGCACTCGCGCACACTCACACGTGCATGTGTGCATCCTCGGGCACCCTGATGCGTTCACATGCACGTACACGCGTGTGCACACGCACAGTCTTTCACAAGCGTATGACGCGTTCACACAAGAGTGTGACGCGTTCACACGCACGCACACTCCCTCTCCCTCGAGCCTGGAAGGCGCACTGGGCTCATAGGGGTGGAAACCTCTACCGCGGCAGAGGCATGGCGCCAGGGCCAGGATGCTCGCTTTTATTTCAGACGTGAAAACTGAGGCCCGAAAGAGACAGCCAGTGTCCAACCCTGTCCAACGTCTCTGCTGATTGTGCCTCCTGTGTGCGGCCGGGGCCGGTGTGAGGGCTGCGGGCCCACCGCACGCCTGGCCCGCCCCAGGGCCTCGAGCCACTTCCTCAGGAGCTGCTGGCAGCTGCAGCGACAGCGCGCCCAGAGCCCGAGGGTCCCATGGAGCCAGGCTTCCCAGCACACAGGCGCGGTGGAGCCTCGGGGTGGGCATACACCCCGCGAGCTCGCGGGGGCTGGGCACTGCGGGTCCTCGGGTGGGGACTCTGGAGTTCAGTCTTGAAGGACACAGTCACTGAGGGTCAGGGAACCAGGAGGGTAGGGAGGGTAGGGAGGGGTGCCTAGGCCTAGTGGGAGAAGCATGTGAAAGTTCCCTAAGAGGGCTGGGGGTGAACAAGCGCTCGGCCCGGCCTCTCCCGGTAGACTGCTCTGGTGCCCTGAAGCCTCCCTTCTCCAAGGCCCCATGGACGCCCCCAGAGGGGTGACGCCCTCGCCCACGCTGAGCTCTGAGTGCTGCACGAGAACTCCCAGAGCCATGTGCACACGCGCTCCCCGTGTTATAACTGGCATTAAGTGCACTCACATTGTCGCATATCCCCTACCACCGTCCATCTCCAGAACGTCTTCATCTTCCCAAAAGGAAACCATACCCATTGAACACCAACTCCCTCCTTTTGTTAACCATTGCTCTTTCTGTATTTGAATTTGCCCATTCTGGGCCCCTCATGTAAGTGAAATCGCAATGTATTTGTCCTTTTGTGGCTGGCTTATTCCATCTAGCACAATGTCCTCAAGGTTCATGTGTGTTGGCACACCTCTCAGAATTTCCCTCCTGGCTGGGTGATATTATAGGCTCACGCCTATTATCCTAGCTGTTAGGGAGGCAGAGGTAGGAAGATAGCTTGAACCCAGGAGTTCGAGACCTGCCTGGGCAATATAGCGAGACTGCATTTTCCACAAAAAGAAAGAAAAAAAAGAATCTCCTTCCTGGTAAAGGTTCAGTAACAGTCTACTGTATGCATAACCACATTTCGCTTGCCCATCCACTCACCCATAGACCCTCAGAATGCTTCTACCTTTTGACTCTTGTGAATCACGCTGCTTTGAACATGGGTGTGCAAATATCTGTGAGAGTGCCTGCTCTCAAAAAAATCCACATTCTTGGCACCATGAAGAATCACCTCTCACAGACACCAGCGAAAACCAAGTCTGTCTGAGAGCAGAGGGTGAGGAGGGGAAAGCCGGGCTGCGGATCACAGTGGGCGGAGGAAAGCCCACCCTTGTGTTCCCATGTGTGGGAGGAGAGAGGAGAGATGCCCTCTAGTGAAGGAACTCTTGTAGCAGCCAGCTCCATTCCTGCTTGGCCTGCGGAGGGCCAGCTCAGGAGCCCAGACCAGGAAGAAGTCAAATGACCAACAAGATCCATCAGGAAGCAGAAGTGTGCTGTGTCTCATCGGCAACAACAAACAGAGCTAGGACCAGCCACCCACCCCCCAACCCAGGGGAAATGCATCCACCACACAACTACCACCGCTGTGCTCATGACACTCTCAGAGACAGGCACGGGAGCTCCTGGCAAGGCACAACCAGGGCAAGTGACAGTTTGCCAGTCCTGGGCAAGCAGACACTTATCCTCTCTCCAGTCCCCAATCCCACCAGCCTGCACAAGCAGAGAAACATCCTGCATAAATTAAAAGATCATCTGGATCATCAAAAGATCTGAGCAAACAAAACGACTGAGACAAAAAACAAACAAAACAAAACAAACAAAAAACAGAACAACAACAACAGAAGAACACTCATTTTTACAGAGAGATTTGAGCCCATCCCAACAGAGTACAATGCTCTTTCCAAGCTCATGGATGGCGTTTGGGAAAATTTAGCTGTGCTAAAGGAGCAGGAAGCCTCAGCCCCTTTCCCAAGAATTGCTGTTACACAAATCACATTCTCTCACCAGGGTGCAACAAAATTAGAAACATGCAATAACAAAGACCATGTTAAAAGTGCATTTTGGGGCCGGGCATGGTGGCTCATGCCTGTAATCGCAGCACTTTGAGAGGCTGAAGCGGGTGGATCACCCCAGGTCAGGAGATCGAGACCAGCCTGGGCAACATGACGAAACCCTGTCTCTACTAAAAATACAAAAAATTAGCCAGGCATAGTGGCAAAAGCCTGTAAACCCGGCTACTAGGGAGGCTGAGGCAACAAAATCACCTAAACTTAGGAGGCAGAGGTTGCAGTGAGATGAGATTGTGTTACTGCACTCCAGCCTGAGCGACAGAGTGAAACTCTGTCTCAAAAAAGAAGAAAAAGTGTGTTTTGGAAACAAAGTTAGTTTTCACAATGAAAATTATAAAATGCCTGGAACTCAATAGCAATAGGGTATTACATATTAAAATTATGAAACTCAACAAAATTGACATTTAGGGAGAAATTTATATCCTCAGATTAATTTGTCAGAAACAGGATAAAAGGAGAAAGCTGATGATAATTTGAGTAAAAGAGAAAATAAAAACTAAAATGAAAAACTTTTCAGAAACAAACTACAATAAGTGTGTGACCTATCAAAATCTCTGGATGTGTCCAAAGCAGTTCTCAGGGGAAACGTTATAGCTGGAAGTGTTTGTTAATATGCTTCAACAGAAGACATATAAAATTATATAAACTAAGTAAACATACAAGAAGCTTTTTTAAGGGAAACAAGAAATAAATGTATTTAATTTTAAAACAGCCATAATAAAAGTAGACTTGATAAATAAAACCCAAAACCACTTCTTTGAAAAGACCATTAAAAAAACCTCTGAGAAGTCAAGCAAAAGAGAAAGAAAAGGCACAAATTTTAAAATGTTAGATTTAGAAAAATGGCATAATAACCAACGTGGAGAAGCTGCTTCAAATCAAGGAGACGGGAGGCTAGCTTCATTCCATGGGAGGCCAGCTTCATTCCAGTAGGTTCTGTTTCACCTGGATGAAATGGAAGATTTTCTTGGAATGTATAAATTGGCTTAGCAGGAGGCAGAAAACCTGAATAAACAGAACAAACAGAAATGGTAAGCAGGTGCTCGAGGGGCTCCATCAGCCTCCAGGGATGGGCTGCTGTGTTAGGGAGGGCCAGAGCACAGGGGAAGTGGAGTGTAATTCTTTCTACAAGATTAGCAAGCTGAACTTGAATCTCACACACGCACACACACCACAGTGACATGGAAAGAATCCACAGGACACTTATGAGAGGTAAAAATAGAAAGTTTCTGCACAAAACAATCGTGTGTGTTTAGAAGATACCATGTGGCAGAAAATAGTGATCTATGTTTGCCAGTGTCTAGGAAGAAACCTTGAAGGCGCACGCCAGACTGGCGGCTGGGTTGGCTAGGGAGGAGACGATGGGGTGGGAGCAGCTAAGGACGACACACACTCTTTTAACTCTGTTCCTGTGTTGTCGGGACGTTTACAAACTGAAGATATATATTTTTAATTAATTATTTTTTTTTAATTTTACTTTAAGTTCTGGGATACATGTTCAGAACATGTAGGTTTATTACATAGGTATACATGTGCCATGGTGGTTTGCTGCACCTATCAATTTGTCATCTAGGTTTTAAGCCCTGCATGCATTAGGTATTTGTCATAATGCTCTCCTTTCCCTTGCCTCCAACCCCTGGATAGAACCTGGTGTGTGATGTTCCCCTCCCTGTGTCTACGTGTTCTCATTGTTCAGCTCCCACTTATGAGTGAGAACATGAGGTACAAACTGCAGATAGTTATACATTACTTTAAAGTAATTAAGTTAAACTAAACTAAATGTAAGCCAACTACATGTAAATAAATAAAACCAATAATTAATAGCAAGATAAAAGTAATTAATACTTAAATAATTACTAATTTATTTCTCAGCTAAAAATTAAAAATTTAGAAAATGTGGAAATGTGTTTCATAATAGGAGGATATTTAAAATGAAAGGGCATTTCTGTAGTCAAAGGGGTAGGAGACTCACCCAAACAAGACACAACCTCAAAACCAAAAGGAAAACTATCAGGTTTGATTATACGAATACTGAAAACCTCTGAATACATGAAAGGCAAATTCTATATCCCATGAAACTACCCTTCAGAAATGAAGAGAGAAATAAAGACATTCTCAGAGGAAGAGAATATAGGAATTTGTCACTGGTCAATTTAGAAATGCTAAAAAGTGGCTACAGAAATATGTTCTGTCATTTCCACAATATAAAAAATTAAAACAAAAAAATCAAAATAAAAAAATGGCTATAGAAAGTTCTTATGCAGAAGGGATGAATATGGGACTATGGGAGGAGGGACAAAGGAAAGACGAGAAATGTGGATACATTTGCGAGACAATCCACAGTTCTTAAAATCACATTTGACGACTGAAACAAAAACTATACCACCACCTAATACTCAAGCCAGTGATTTATACAAGTGGAAAAGGTAAAGAGACATAAATGCAAGGCAGGTTTCCACACTTTGAAGTGGTAAATACTGGTACCAGTAGACTACTATATTACAATACACATATTGTAACATCCAGAGCAAACACTTTAAGACTATACAAAGAGATACACGCAACATTATACAGAAATAGATCAAGATGGAGGGAAAGAAAAAGGAAACAAAAAAGCAAATAATAAAAACATCAGACATAAGCAATTATGTAACAATAAGCACCTTAAATGTAAATGATCTAAATAAACCAAAAGACAGATTGATGGAGAGCCTATAATAAACACATGGCCCAACTAAATACTGTTCATAAGAAACTTCAAACTCACTTAAGGACCTAAGTAGGTTGAAAGTAAAAGAATGGAGAAAGATATCCTGTGAAATCATTAATTTTTTAAGGAAGCAGGAGTGAATATATTAATATCTCATGAAGTAGACTTCAAGCAAAATAATTTACCAGAGCTGGAGAGGGTCTTCGCTGAATTTTAAGATCTAAAATTTCCTATGCTGCCTTGACATGTTTGAGCCTCACAGGGCCCCAAAGACCTAGCCGTGGGTTTTCCTGTTTCTACCAGACACCCCCTACCCCGCCACCCAACAGGAAAGGCTCCCCACCTGGCTAGTTCTTTTATCAGCCAGAACAGTTGCACCTCAGCCTAAGAAGTTTCACTTCACCTGTCTGCCAGCCCATGAATTTATTCAAACAAGCCAATTGCATTCCCCCTCGGGAACCATTGGTCATCGTGTGCTCTTGTTACTACCAAGCCTCCCTGCTTCCTCAGCCCGCAGCCCTCACTCCACTACAGAGTGCGGTGCCCATCTGACCCTGTGTGGCATGCAGTGTCCTCCTCTGAGCTGTGGGTATATGTGACTAAAACACTGCTGTCAATCGCATCCATCCACGCCAGGTGTCGTGTTCAGCCATCTCCTACACTTTAGGGCAGGGACCCCTCCTTCACCAATGGGGTGAAAAGGAAGTGACCATAACAACTGCTTAATGACAAAAGGATTAACCCACCAAGAAGACATCTACTTCGACATCCTCCTCTTAGCAACTGTTAAAACTAGGCAGAGGCCGGGCACAGTGGCTCATGCCTGTAATCCCAGAACTGTGGGAGGCAAAAACAAAGGATAGCTTGAGGCCAGGAGTTCGAGCCTGGGCAACATAGCAAGGCCTCATCTCTCCAAAAAATTTTAAATTTAGCCAGGTGTGGCGGCACACACCTATAGTACCAGCTACTCAGGAGGTTAAGCCAGGGGAAGTACTTGACCCTAGGAAGTCAAGGCTGCAGTGAGTCATGTTCGTGCCACCGCACTCTAGTGTAAGTGACAGAGTGAAACTAGGCACAAAAGGAGCAAGGATTTACAAAAGATCTGAACAGTCAACCAGCAAAATCTGACATCCGTATAATACCCCACTCCCCAACAGCAAAACACACACATTTTTAAAGTCAATAGAAATCTACCAAGATGAGGTACACTTGGGGCAATAAAAGAACTCACAGCAAATCTCGCTGTGTGCCCCTCTGCACCAGCGCCGTGCCCCTCTCTGCACCAGCGCCGTGCCCCTCTCTGCACCTTCTTTTCTCACCATGGGGAAGCGTTTGGGGGCCTCTTGAGGGACCCCCTAGATGCTTCTACTCAGAGCCCCCAAAGCCGGGGAGCCTCCACTCCTCTGTCTGCAGCCTCCCCTGTCGGTTCTCGCTACCCAGGGTTCAGTGGCCTGGGGGTGACGGAGGGGGTCGCCTCTGCCAAGGCCCCTCCCGGCGCCTCCCTGGCTCATCCAGCCCACCTTCCTCCCACGCTGGCTCACGCAAAGTGCTCTGGTCACCAGGAGCCCTTCCTGACCAGCCCCAGCCCCTTCTTGGCCTTCGCCCACCTGGCCTCCCCTGGAGCCCTGACCTGGGTGCCGGGCCTGCTGGGTCCAGAGCCCACCCCGCCCTGAACAACCCCGAGTCTCAGCCACCCTCGGTTCTTACCCTTTCACAGCTGGGGAGTGGAGCCTGGGCCTGCGCCTCTCCGCGCCAGAGCCGGCGCCAGCGCCTCTCCGCGCCTGCGCCGCCGCTGCGCGCCTCGCCGCCGCTGTCCGCCTCTCCGCCGCTGTCCGCCTCTCCGCCGCGCCGCCGCTGGCCGCCTCTCCGCCGCTGTCCGCCTCTCCGCCGCGCCGCCGCTGGCCGCCTCTCCGCCGCTGTCCGCCTCTCCGCCGCGCCGCCGCTGGCCGCCTCTCCGCCGCTGTCCGCCTCTCCGCCGCGCCGCCGCTGGCCGCCTCTCCGCCGCTGTCCGCCTCTCCGCCGCTGTCCGCCTCTCCGCCTCTCCGACGCCGGCCGCCTCTCCGCCGCTGTGCGCCTCTCCGCCGCGCCGCCGCCGGCCGCCTCTCCGCCGCTGTCCGCCTCTCCGCCGCGCCGCCGCCGGCCGCCTCTGCGCCGCTGTCCGCCTCTCCGCCGCGCCGCCGCCGGCCGCCTCTCCGCCGCTGTCCGCCTCTCCGCCGCGCCGCCGCCGGCCGCCTCTCCGCCGCTGTCCGCCTCTCCGCCGCGCCGCCGCCGGCCGCCTCTCCGCCGCTGTCCGCCTCTCCGCCGCGCCGCCGCCGGCCGCCTCTCCGCCGCTGTCCGCCTCTCCGCCGCGCCGCCGCCGGCCGCCTCTCCGCCGCTGTCCGCCTCTCCGCCGCGCCGCCGCCGGCCGCCTCTCCGCCGCTGTCCGCCTCTCCGCCGCGCCGCCGCCGGCCGCCTCTCCGCCGCTGTCCGCCTCTCCGCCGCGCCGCCGCCGGCCGCCTCTCCGCCGCTGTCCGCCTCTCCGCCGCGCCGCCGCCGGCCGCCTCTCCGCCGCTGTCCGCCTCTCCGCCTCTCCGCCGCCGCCGCCTCTCCGCCGCGCCGCCGCTGGCCGCCTCTCCGCCGCCGGCCGCCTCTCCGCCGCGCCGCCGCTGGCCGCCTCTCCGCCGCTGTCCGCCTCTCCGCCGCGCCGCCGCTGGCCGCCTCTCCGCCGCTGTCCGCCTCTCCGCCGCGCCGCCGCTGGCCGCCTCTCCGCCGCTGTCCGTCTCTCCGCCGCGCCGCCGCTGGCCGCCTCTCCGCCGCTGTCTGCCTCTCCGCCACGCCGGCGCCAGCGCTGTGTGCCTTTGCGAGGGCGGAGCTGCGTTCTCCTCAGCACAGACCCGGAGAGCATTGCGAGGGCGGAGCTGAGTTCTCCTCTGCACAGACTTCGGAGATACAGCGAAGGCAGAGCAATGTTCTCCTCAGCAGAGACCCGGGCGGGCGGGCCGGTGGCACCGCGAGGGCGGAGCTGCGTTCTGCTCTGCACAGACCTTGGGGGCACTGCCTCGCTTTGGGACAACTCGGGGCCGCATGGACAGTGAATAAAATCCTTCCTGTTTGCAGCCCTGTTTGTGGTTGGTGGCAGCGATGGACACTGCAGCCAGCCAGAGCGTAGAAAGGCGTCGGGGTAAGTGCGCTATCCAGGCTGCACTGTGGGTGGCCTGGGACGGGTTGGGAGCCCTATCTCAGGCGTCACTGCCCGTCTTGGGTGGCCGGTTGGGTGTGCTATCTGGGGCTGTGCTGCCTGCACCGGGCGGGGGGGGTGGTTTGGGGGCCAAACCGGGGCTGCACTGCCTTTGGTGGGGAGCCGGTTGGGGGCACTATCCCAGACTGTATTGCTGGCAACAGTGAGGTGGGCTAAGTGTGCTATCCGGGGCTGCACTGTGCGGCTGTCGGGGGGGTGGCGGTTTCGGGTTGAGGGCGCTATGGGGTGCTGTAATGCCCATGGTGTGGGGAGGCGGGGCAGTTTGGGTATGTTGGGTGTGCTATTGGGGGGGTGACACTGCTGGTGGTAGGGGGCAGGGTGGGTTGGGGGCCATATCAGGGGCTGCACTGATGGCTTTAGCTAGGATTTCTGGTACTATGTTAAACAACAGTGGTGACAGGGGGCATCCTTATGTTCCAGATCTTAGAGGAAAAGCTTTCCATTTTTCCCCATTCCATATGATTCTAGCTGTGGGTGTCTTTCCTGTAGTTTTTATTATGTTGCGGTATGTTTCTTCTGTGCCCGTTTCTTTGAGGATTTATAGCATGAAGGGATGTTGAATTTCATCAAATGCTTTTTCGGTTTCAGTTGACGTGATGATACTGTTTTTGTCGTTTATTTGGTTGATATGATGTATCACATTGTATGTTGAGTGACCCTTGGGTCCCAGGGATACATCCCACTTGATCATGATGAATTATCTTTTTAATGTATTACTGAATTTGATTCACTGGTATTTTGTTGAGGATTTTTGCATCAATATTAGAGATCCTGGCCTGTAGTTTCCTTCTTTGATGCTTTTGTCTGATTTTGGTATCACAGTAATAATGGTCTCATAGAATAAGTTTGGAAGTATTCCCTCCTGTTTTTCAAAATAGTTTGAGCAGGATTCGTACTAGGTCTTTAAATTGTTTGGTGTGAAGCCATCAGCAGTGAAGACATCAGTTCCTGGGCTTTTCTTTACTGGGAGACTTTTTCTGATGGCTTCAATCTCATTACTTGTTACCAATCTGTTCTGGTCTTGGATGTTTTCATTGTTTAACCTAAGTAGGTTGTATGCATCTAGGAATTTGCCAATTTCTACTAGGCTTTCCAATTTATTGGCATATAGTAGCCAGTTATGATCCTTTGAATTTCTGAAGTATTAGTTGTAATGTCTCCTTTTTTTAATCTGTTGATTTTATTTATTTGAATCTTGTCTCTTTTCTTAGCCTGGTTAAAAGTTTGTCAATTTTGTTTAGCTTTCCAGAAAACCAACTTTTCGTTTAATCTTGTCTGTTTTTTATTTCAATTTTGTTTGTGCTATGATCTTATTTATTTTCTTATTTTCAGTTTAGTTTGTTCTTTACTAGTTCTTTAAGATGTATTGTTTATTTGAAGGTTTTCTTTTGTTTGGATGGTAGGCACTTATAGCTGTAAATCTCTGCCTTTGTACTGCTTTCTGCATAACAAGTTTTGGTATACTGTGTTTTCATTACCCTTTGTTTCATGAAATTTTTGAATTTCTGTCTTAGTATCTTCATTGACCCACTAGTCATTTATTCAGGAGGGTAGTGTTTAACTTCCATGTGATTGTATTGTTTCCAAAATTGCTTTTCTTATTGATACCTAGTTTTATTCCTTTGTAGTGAAAGAAGATGGCCACGGAGACAGACAGCAGCGTGGTCAGAGTGGTAGGAGCCGGCCATCAGCGAGAGCTGCTCCATGCCTGGCTGCTGGGTCCTAGAGCCTGTGGCCCACTGGCTTGCCTCACTGTGGTTGGTGGTGGTGGTGACAGAGACTGCAGGACGACCAGAGTGGTAGGACAGGGGCTATCCAGGGCTGCACCTTTCGCAGTGTGGGGTGGGTTGAGGGCGCTATCCAGGGTGTCATTGCCTGCATTAGGGGTACTGGTTGGTAGCACTGTACAGGGTTGCACTGCCCACGGCAGGGAGGGTGGGTTATGGGTGCTCTCTGGGGCTGCAATGCCCATGGAGGAGGACAGGTTAGGGCACTATCGGTTATACGCTACTGGCGGCATTGGGGGACGGAGGTGGGGGGCGCTATTGAGGGCAGGACTAGCCATGGAGCGGGGGCGAGTTCGGTGCTATCAGGGGCTGCACTGCTGGTGTCGGTCAACAGAGTTGGCATCCAAGGAAGGAGTGGTTCTCCTCTCCCTGACTCCACACTCCAGAGGGCGACCCACTCTTGGTCATACTGGAGTGCAGCAGGGCACACAGTGTTTGCGTGGGAATCCTGAGCATGGCAGAGCCCCCACACCCACCGTGGTTCCTGGGCCTGTGTACTGTGGGTCTGTGCCTCAGAGGCTGCCAGGCACCCCTGGGGACACCACGGGGGACAGGGCCCTGTGCGTGGAGGCGTCCGGAACAGGAATTGGCACCTGGGTGTGGAGGGCTGGCTGGGTCTGAATTTTTCTGCTTCTCCTGCTCCCCGAGGAGTGCAGCCCCAGTGGGCCCAGGGGTTCCTGTGGAGTGGGGAGCTGGATGCTGTGGTGTCTCCAGCACCCACCCCAGACCCCAGTTCCTGCCCAGCTTGGGCCAAAAGGAGAGGCTGGACTTTGGAGGGTGGGTGTGAGTGCCTTTGCTGAAACTGGCCCCTGCCACCCAGTGGCCGGCATGACAAGTTGAGGCTCTAACCCTTCCACCCCTCACATCTTTCCCTAGGCTTTTCTGGCTTTGCCCGCCCAGCTGCTCTGTGCCAGGAGGAGGAGGAGACACCTAGAGCCTGCGACACCATGGCTCGCCTCGCTGCGGGTGGGCGGCAGTGACAGAGACTGCGGTGCGCCAGAGCGGTAGGAGAGCGGCTGCGCTAGGAGGGCAGGCGGCTGCAGCCAGGGTTGGGGGTCAGGCTTAGAGCGATGGACGGGCTGCAGCAGTGGCCAGGTGGTAGGAGCCTTGTAGGGAGGGCTGGTGCATTGGCAATGGGCCTGGCTTTGCCCTGCGCCTGCCGTGGATCTGGCCCTGTACTGCCCTGCCTTGCCCTGTACCTGCCCTACTGTTACTTGGACTCTCGGCCCTGTCCTGCTCTGGTCCCATCCTGACCCTGTCTTGGCCCTGTGCTACCCTGTCCCTGCCCTGGTCTTGCCCTGGCACTGGCCCTGCCCTGAACCTGCACTGGCCTGACCTTGGCTCTGGCCCTGGCTCTGGCCCTGCCTCTTGTCCTGACCCTGGTCGTGTCATGGCACTGGCCCTGCCAATGGTCATGGTCCTGCTCCTGTTCTGGCCCTGACCTGGCCTTGGACATGTCCTGGCCCTGCTTTGGCCCATCCCTGCCCTGGCTCCACCATGGGCCTGCCTGTTCTGCCCTCTCCTGGCACTGACCTTGCCTTGTCATGGCCCAGTGGTGCCATTCCCTGCCTTACCCTGCGCTGGTTGTGACTTGGCCCCGCTTGGTGCTGGCCACTCCCTGGACCTGCCCTGGACCTGCCCTGACCCTGCCCTTGGCTTTTGCCCTGCCCTCACTATGGCCTGGCCCTGGCCCTAGCCCTGGTCCTGCCATATCCCTGGCCCTGCCCTTATCCAGGCCCTGCCCCTGCTGCTGCCCTGGCCCTGGCCTGGAACCTGGTCCTGTCAAGGACCTGCCCTGACTCTGCCATGGCCCTGGCCCTGCTCTGCCTTGTTCCTGGCCCTGACCCAGACCCAGACCCTTTCCTGGCTCTGCACTGGACTTTCCCTGGCCCTGAGCTGGCAATGGTCTGCCCCTGGTCTTGCCATCACCCTGCCCTGCTGTGCTCTGGATGTGTCATCACCCTGCCCTGGCCCTACTCTGCCTTTGACCCTGCCCTGGCCTTACCTTGGCCCTCACCCTAGCCTGCGCTAGACCCTGCTCTGGAGCTGACCCTAGCACAGACCTGGCCCTGATCCTGGCCGTGGTCTTTGTCCTGCCATAGCCCTGGCCCTGAAGTGGACTTGGAGGTGTCCTGGCCCCGGCATAACATGGCTCTGCATTGGCCTGTCCCTGCCCTGCCGCTACCATCTCCTTGCCCTGCTCTGTCCTGTCCCAGTACTGACCCGGCCGTGCTATTTCCCTTCCCTACCCTGCCTTGGCTGTGCCCTGGCTCGGTTCTGGCCCTGGCCCTGGCCCTGCCCTGGACATGCTCTGACACTGCCTCAGCCTCGGCACTAGCCTGGCTCTTTCTTGGCATCAGCTCTGCTCTCTCTGTGGACCGGCTCTTGTCCTGTCCTGCACTGGCCATACCATGCCCTGCCCTGCCCTGCCCTGACTCAGTCCTGGGTCAGCCCTGGCCCAACCTTGGCCTTGGCATTGCCCCTGGTCATGCCATATTTCTTGCCCTGTCCCTACCCTGGCCTTGGCCCTGACCCTTACCTTGCTGTGGCCCTGCCCTTGCCCTAACGCAGCCCCTGGCCCTGTCATGGCCCTGCCCTGGACCTGTCCTGGCCCTGGCCCTTCCCTGCTTGAGACCTTGCCCTGGTTCTCCCCTGGCCCTGACCCTGAAATGCCTGGCCCTACCCTGGCCTTGCACTGCTCTGGCCCTTGCCCTGACTCTGGTCCTGTCACTGGCCTAGCCCCAGCCCTGTTGTTGGTCTTACCATGGCCCAGACCCTGCCTTGGCCCTGCCCTGACACTGTCCTGGACCCTGGCTGTGCCAAGAACCTGCACTGTCCTTGCCATTGTTTTGCTCCTGCCCTGAACCTGGTCTTCCCCAGGCCGTGGCCATGGCCCTGGCCCTGGCCCTGCCCAGGTCTTGGCACTGTCCTGGCCCTGCCCTGCCCTGGCCCTGCCCTGCCCTGGCCCTATGCTTTCCTGGCCCTGCCTTGCCGGCCCTGGCCCTGCCTTGGCCCTAGCCTGGCTTTGACCCTGCCCTGGCCCTACCTTGGCCTTCACCCTAGCCTTACCTGGGCACTGTGTTGGACCTGGCCATAGCACAGACCTGGTTGTGGCCCTGGTCCTGCTGTGGCCCTGTCTCAGACCCTAGCCCTGCCAGGTACCTGTCCTGGCCCAGCTCTGGGCCTGGCTTTGTCCCTGGTTCTTAGATGAACCTGGCCCTGCTCCTGCCCTTGCTGTTGCCCTGGCACTGGCCTTGGACATGTCCATGGTCCTAACCCTGGCCCTGCCCAGGAGCTGCCACTGTCTTGGCTGTGCCCTGGCTCTGGCCCTGCCCCGGCCCCAACCATAGACCTGCCCTGGTTGGTCGTGCCCTACCTTAACCCTGTGCTACCCTGGGCCTGCTCCACCCTGCCCTGGCCCTGCCCTCCCTTTGGCCCTGCCCTGACCCTGCCTTGGCCCTCACACTGGCCCTAGCACAGACCTGGTCCTATGTGTGGCCTAGGCCTGGCATTGACCCCTGCTCCTGACCCCGGTCCTGCCATGGCCCTGGCCCTGCCAATGACCCTGGCAGCCCTGACCCTGGCCCTGTCTTGGCCCTGGCCCTGAACTGGCCCTGCCCTGACCCTGGCCCTGAAGTGGATTTGCAGGTGTCTTGTCCCTGATGTAACCTGGTCTTACCATGGCCCTGTCCCTCCCCTGGCTCTGTCCTGGCCTTCTGCTGACCCTGACCCAGACCTTGGCCCTGCCCCAGCCTTGTCCTAGATCTGGCCATGGCCCTGCATCTTCCCTGGACCAGCACTGGCACTGGCATGGACCCTGGCCCTGACCCTTCGCTACTTAAGGCCATACCCTGGCCCAGCCCTGGTCCTGACCCTGTCCTGGCCCTAATTTGGCCTGGCTCTACCCTGGCATGCTATTCTGGCCCTAGCCCTGACCCTGTCCCTGTCCCTGTCCTGGCCCCAGCCCCATTGCTGGTCCTGCCACGGCCCTTGTCCTGACATTGCCCTTTCCTGGTTCTGGCCCTGGCCCTGTCCCAGCCCTGCTCTGGCCCTGGTCTGAACCCTGGCCCTGCAATAGACCTGCCTTGGTCCTGCCCAGACCCTGGCTCTGGCCCTACCTCTGCCCTGGCCATACCCTTGCCCTGGCCTGGACTCCAGTCCTGGTCCTTGTCCTGCCCCAGCCGTGGCCCTGGCCCTGCCCTGCCTGTGCCCTGTTCTATCCTGGGCTGGCCCTGCCATGGCCTGGTCTTGCCATTGCCCTGCCCTAGCCTGCCCTGCTTGTGCCCTAGATCTGCCCCGGCCTTTGCCCCTGTCTTGGTTCTAGCCTTGACTGAGCCCTGGACCTTCCCTGATCTTGCCTCAGCCCTGGCACTACCCTGGCCTTGCCTTGGCATTTGCCCTACTCTCTCTATGGCCTGGCTCTGGTCCTGCCCTGCTCTGCTCTTGTTCTGTCCTGGCACAGCCCTGGCCCTGGCCCTGGCCCTGCCGTATCACTGGCTCTGGTCCTGCCCTTATGCAGACCTGACCCTGCCACTGCCTTGGCTTTGGCCTGGACCTTGGCCATACAGTGACCCTGCCATGACCCTTTCCTGGCCCTGGCCTGGAACCTGGCCCTGCCAAGGACTCGCCCTGGCTCTGTCATGGCCCTGGCCCTTTCCTGGATTTGGATGTGTCCTGTCCCTTACTTACCCTGGCCCTTCCCTGGCTCTGCCATACCCCTTCTCTGGGGTAGGGCCAGGGTCAGGACCAGACCAGGGCAGGGTCAGGACCAGGGTAGGGCCATGGTAAGGCCTGAAGATGGGAAGGGCCAGGGCAGCGGCTGGACCAGGGAAGGGTCAGGGCCAGGGATGTAGTAGGACTAGGGGCAGAGCCGGCACTAGGGCTGAGCCAGGACAGAGCAGGAGAGATTACATTGGGCTATTACATAAAATTTTTATTTTAGATTTTTAAGATAACTATAGTAGTAGTAATGTCTATACTATATTGTTTGTAATAGTAATAATATTTGCAGTAATCACTAAATTTTAACTAATACTATCTTTGCTTCCAGTAGTGTTCTATGAGTATAATTTTATCAATATGTTAATATGTGAGGCATTGATTCTCACAATAATTCTATGTGCTAGGTACTTAAAGCATCCCCATTTTCCAAATGTAGGAAACAGGTATAAAGAAGTTAAATACTTGGCCAGATTACTCCTGTAATCCCAGCACTTTGGGAGGCCAAGGCAGGCAGATGGCTTGAGCTCAGGAGTTTGGAACCAGCCTGGGCAACATTGTGAAACCCCATCTCTACTAAAAATGCACAAAAAGAACTAATTTAAGTTTCTTGTAGGATTCTGGTTATAAAACACTGGTCAAACACACAGGGCATGGATAGGGCAGGGCCAGGGACAAGGTCAGGCCAGGAAGGGGCCAGGGCCAAGGCAGGGCCAGAGATGGACTTGGAGGTGTCCTGGTCTGATTTGCCCTGCCCCAACGTTGGTCCAGCCCTGCTCTGGCACTTCCTGTCATGCCCTGTCCCTGGCCTGAGCATTGGCCCTGGCCCTGTCCTGCTTCTGGCCCTGCCCGGGAGTTGACCAGGCACTGCCATGGCCCAGTCCTGCATTGCCCTGCCCTCCTCTGCCCTGGTGCTACCATGGCCCTGCTTGGGCCCTAGCTCTGCCTCGACTCTGGACCTGCCCTGACTCTGCTCAGCCCTGGATCTACCCTGACTCTGCCTTGGTGTTGCCCTCCCATCTCTATGGCCTGGCTCTGGCCGTGCCTTGCACAGATCATGCTCTGCCCTGCGTGTCCCAGCCTGGGCCCAGCCCTCGTCCTACCACATTCCTGACCCCAGCCATACCCTTGTTCTGGCCGTGACCCTGCCGTGGCCCTCTCCTGGCCCTTCCTTGGTCCTGCCCTGCCCTTCCATGCCCTGGCCTTGCCCTCACCCTGCATTGGCCCTGCACTGGTCCTGCCCTGCCCTGGCACTGCCTTGGCCCCGGCCCTGCCTTCTCCCTGGTCTTGCCTTTGCCCTGCCCTGGCCTGACCCCAGGCCTACTGAGTCCATGAAATGGCCCTGGACCTGCCTTGCCATCGTCTGTCCTGGCCCTGTATTGTCCCCACCATGCTCTGGTCCAGCGCTTGCCCTGGCCCTGTTGCTAGTCCTGCCACTGTTATGGCCCTGCCCTGTTTTTGGCCATGCCCTGTGCTACCCTAGCCCTGCCCTGCCTTGGCCTTGGCCCTACCATGGCCTTCTCCTACCCTGGCCTGGCCCTACACTGGCCTTTTCTACTCTGGCCTTGCCCTTCCCTGGTCTTGCCTTGCCCTGGCCTTGCCCTGCCCTGGCCTTGGCTTTGCCTTATCCTGGTCCTGGTTCTGCCCTGACCCTGGCCTTGCTCTGGATCCTCTCTGGTTCTGCTTTCTCCCTGGCCCTGCCCTTGCTCTGGCCCTGTCCCTGGCCCAGCCTTGACCCTGACCCTGGCCCTGACAATCCCCAGGTCTGACACTGGCCATGCTTGGCCCTGGCCCCTCCTTTTGGCCCTGCCCTGGCCCTGCCTTGGCCCTGTGCTATCTTAGTCCTGCCCTGGCCCTGAACTCACCCTGGCCCTACCCTCACCCTACACTGGCCCCGCCCTACCCTGACCTTGCCCTGCCCTGGCCCTGCCTTTGGCCTGCTCTGGCTCTGGTTCTGCCCTGGCCTTGCCCTTGCCCTGGACCCTCCCTGGCCATGTTTTTTCCATGGTCCTTCTCTGGCCTTGCCCTTGCCCTGTCCCCTTTCTGGTCCTGCCATATTTCTGGCCCTGTCCTGTCCATGTCCTGGACCTGACTCTGGCCCTGGACCTCCCTGTCCCTGCCCTGCCATACCCTGGCCCGTTCCTTGCTCTACACTGACCCTGCCCTGCCTTGGCCCTGCGCTACCCTAGCCCTGCCCTGGCCTTCTGCTGACCCTGATCCTGCCATGGCCCTGGCCCTGCCATGTCCCTGCCCTGGCCCTGGTTCTGCCCTGCTTCTGGCCCTGGCCTTGGTCCTCTCATGTCCCTGGCCGTGACCCTGCCCCTGGATTTTCTCTGGCCATGACCCTGCCCCTGTTCTGTCCTATCCCTGGCCCTGTCTCAGTTCTGTCCTAGCCCTGGCCTTTCACAGTACTTTATGCTTAGTAAGGACTCCATGGTGTCTGTGAGTTGAATGTAGTGTTCATAGTATCTGCCAAAACAGAAAGAAAAAAAACAAAATATTTTGATAAGAAGTTAAGCTTTGTATATAATATGCCTTGAATTGTAAATGCCTGTTATTAGTTGTATTACATATAGGTCATGGTTTTGTACACATAACTCCAAACCATTGATACTGTTAAAAGAATATATGAATATATGAAAGAATGTATAAACGTAAGAATGTATCAGTATCTAATGACCTTTCCAAATTAATTTTTATTTTTAGCTCTATTAGATTTTTCTCAGTGTAACAAACGTTTATTCCTATGTAATTAAGGGCGTATTTCCTGTACAGAATATTCATATTACCTAATTGAAAATTATATGACACAAAAATATAATACTATTTTTAGGCCAGGCATGGTGGCTCATACCTGTAATCCCAACATTTTGAGAGGCCAAGTTTGGAGAACTATTTGAGTCTAGGAGTTGACCAGCCTGGGCAACATAGTGAGACCTTGTCCTTATTAAATAAATAAATAAATAGGTTGGGCACTGTGGCTCATTTCTGTCATCCCAGCATTTTGGGTTGCCAGTGCAGGAGGATTGCTTGAGCCCAGGAGTTTGAGACCAGCCTGGGCAGAATAGCAAGACTCCATCTCTACAAATAATAAAATATTAACCAGGTGTGGTGGTGCGCACCTGGGGTCCCAGCTACCTGGGAGGCTAATGTGGGAGGTTTTCTCGAGGCTGCAGCGAACTGTGAATGCACCACTGCATTCCAGCCTAGGCCACAGAACAGGACCTTGTCTATGAATAAAGAAATAAGTAAAAATATAAATAAAAATAAGTAAAAAGAAATATTAGTAAATATAAATATAAATACATATAAATATAAAAATGCATGCATGAAAAGAAACAATTTTTAAATTTAACATCACTGAGGGCATCCTATCCATTTCATTTCATGATTCCATTATGTCATTTCACTTAGATGAAATGATAAGATGACTTGAGATGAGATGAAATGATGAGATGAAATGACAAAATGATGAGATGAGATGAGATGATGAGATGAAATTTTGAGATGAAATGCAGAGTGGAAATGATGAGATTAAATGATGAGATGAAATGACAAAGTTGAAAAGAAATTGAAAGGAGATGAGATGAGATGAAATGAGATGAAATGATGAGATGATGAAATGATGAGATGAAACGAGATGAAATGATGAGATGAAATGAAATGAAATAATGAAATGATATGAAATAATGAAATTGAAATGAGATGAGATGAGATGAAATAATGAGATAAAATGAGATGAAATGAGATGAACGATGAGATGATATGATGAGATGAAATGAGATGAAAAATGAGATGAAATGAAATAATGAAATGAAATAATGAAATGAGATGAAATGAAATGAAATAAAGGAAATTATGAAATGTAATGAAATTGAAATGAAATTGAAATGAGATGAGTTGAAATGATGAGATGTAATGATGAAATGAAATGATGAAATGAGATGAGATGAAATGAGATGAAATAATGAGATGAAATGAGATGATGAGATGAGATGAAATCATGAGATGAAATGATGAAATGAAATGAAATGATGGATGAAATGATGAGATGAAATGAGATGAAATGTAATAAGATGAAATGAAATGACATAATGAAATGAAATAATGAAATGAGATGAAATAATGAAATGATGAAATAATGAAATGAAAATGAAATGGAAATGATGAGATGAGAAGAAATGATGAGATGAGATGAGATAAAATGAGATGAAATGATGAGATGAAATGAAATGATGAGATGAGATGAAATGAGATGAAATATGATGAGGTGAAATGACATAATGAAATGAAATGATGAAATGGAATAATGAAATGGAAATGAGATGAGATGCAATGAGTTGAAATGAGATGAAATGATGAAATGATGAGATGAAATGATGAGATGAGATGTGATGAAATGATGACATGAAATGATGACATAAAATGAGATGAAATGTAATGATGAAATGAGATGAAATGAGATGAGATAAAATGATATGAAATGAGATGAATGATGAGATGAAATGATGAGATGAGATGAGATGATGAGATGAAATGATGAGATGAACTGATGAGATGAAATGAAATTGAAATAAATAAATAAAATTGAAATGAGATGAGATGAAATGATGAGATGATGAAATAAAATGATAAAATGATGAGATGTGATGAGATGAAATGATGAGATGAGATGACATGAAATAATGAAATGAAATAATGAAATGAAATTGAAATGAGATGAGAAGATACGAGATGAAATGAAGTGATAAGATGAAATGATGAAATGATAAGATGAAAAGAGTTGATGAGATGATAAGATGAAATGATGAGATGAAAAGATGAGATGAAATGAAATGATGAGATGAAATGAGATGAAATGAAATGACATAATGAAACGAAAAAATGAAATAATGAAATGAGGTGAAATTGAGATGATGAAATTAAATGATGAAATGAAATGATGAAATGTTGAAATGAAATGATGAAATGAATAGATGTGACATGAAATGAGCTGAAATGATGAGATCAAATGAAATGAAATGAGCTGAAATGATGAGATGAAAAATGATGAGATGAAAAATGATGAGATGAAATGCTGAGATGAAATGAGATCAGATGAACTGAGATGAGATGAGATGAAATAATGAAATTAGGTGAAATAATGAAATGAGATGAAATAATGAAATTGAAATGAGATGAGAAGAAATGAGATGAAATGTTGTAATGAAAGGAGGAAATGAGATGAGGAGATGAAATGAGATGAATTGAGATGAAATGAGATGAAAAAATGATATCAAAAATATGAGATGAAATGAAATGAGATTATATGAAATGACATAATGAATTAAATGAAATTAGATGAAATGAAATGAAATAGTGAAATGAAATGATGAAATGAAATAATGAAAATGAAATGGAAATGAGATGAGATGAGATTTGATGAAATGATGAGATGAAATGATGAGATGATATGAAATGATGAGATGAGATGGGATGAGATGAAATGAGATAAAATGATGAGATGTAATGATGAAATGAAATGATGAAATGAGATGAGATGAAATGAGATGAAATAATGAGATGAAATGAGATGATGAGATGAGATGAAATCATGAGATGAAATGATGAAATGAAATGAAATGATGGATGAAATGATGAGATGAAATGAGATGAAATGTAATGAGATGAAATGAAATGACATAATGAAATGAAATAATGAAATGAGATGAAATAATGAAATGATGAAATAATGAAATGAAAATGAAATGGAAATGATGAGATGAGAAGAAATGATGAGATGAGATGAGATAAAATGAGATGAAATGATGAGATGAAATGAAATGATGAGATGAAATGAGATGAAATATGATGAGGTGAAATGACATAATGAAATGATGAAATGGAATAATGAAATGGAAATGAGATGAGATGCAATGAGTTGAAATGAGATGAAATGATGAAATGAGATGAAATGATGAGATGAGATGTGATGAAATGATGACATGAAATGATGACATAAAATGAGATGAAATGTAATGATGAAATGAGATGAAATGAGATGAGATAAAATGATATGAAATGAGATGAATGATGAGATGAAATGATGAGATGAGATGAGATGATGAGATGAAATGATGAGATGAACTGATGAGATGAAATGAAATTGAAATAAATAAATAAAATTGAAATGAGATGAGATGAAATGATGAGATGATGAAATAAAATGATAAAATGATGAGATGTGATGAGATGAAATGATGAGATGAGATGACATGACATAATGAAATGAAATAATGACATGAAATTGAACTGAGATGAGCAGATACGAGATGAACTGACGTGATAAGATGACATGATGAAATGATAAGATGAAAAGAGTTGATGAGATGATAAGATGAAATGATGAGATGAAAAGATGAGATGAAATGAAATGATGAGATGAAATGAGATGAAATGAAATGACATAATGAAACGAAAAAATGAAATAATGAAATGAGGTGAAATTGAGATGATGAAATTAAATGATGAAATGAAATAATGAAATGGAAATGATGAGATGAGATGAAATGACGAGATGAATGATGAGACGAAATGAGATGAAATGATGAGATGCAATGATGAGATGAAATGATGAAATGATGAGATGAGATGAGATGTAATGATGAGAGGAAATGATGAGATGTAATGAAATGAGATGAAATGAATGAGATGAAATAATGAAAGGAAATTGAATTGATATAGGAGATGAAATGAGATAAAATGAGATGAAATAAGAAATGATGAGGTGAAATGATGAAATGCTGAGGTGAGATGAGATGAAATGAGGAGATGAAACGATGAGATGAAATGAAAGGATGAGATGAAATGATGATATGAGGTGAGATGAGATGAGATGAAACGAGATGAAATGATGAAATGATGAGATGAGACGAGAAGAAATGATGAGATGAAATGAGATGAGATAAAATGAGATGAAATGAAATGAAGTGAAATGAAATGAAATAATGAAATTGAAATGAGATGAGATGAAATGAGATAAAATGATGAGATGAAATGATGAGAAGAAATGAGATGAAATGAGATGAGATGATGAGATGAAAAATGATGAGATGAAAAATGATGAGATGAAATGAGATGAAATGAAATGAAATAATGAAATAATGAAATGAGATGAAATGAAAAGAAATGATGAAATGATATTGAAATGAAATTGAAAGATGAGATGAAATGATGCGATGAAATGATGAAATGTTGAAATGAAATGATGAAATGAATAGATGTGACATGAAATGAGCTGAAATGATGAGATCAAATGAAATGAAATGAGTTGAAATGAGATGAAATGATGAAATGAGATGAAATGATGAGATGAAAAGATGTGATGAGATGAAATGATGATATGAGGTGAGATGAGATGAAATGAGATGAAACGAGATGAAATGATGAAATGATGAGATGAGACGAGAAGAAATGATGAGATGAAATGAGATGAGATAAAATGAGATGAAATGAAATGAAGTGAAATGAAATGAAATAATGAAATTGAAATGAGATGAGATGAAATGAGATAAAATGATGAGATGAAATGATGAGAAGAAATGAGATGAAATGATGAGATGAGATGATGAGATGAAAAATGATGAGATGAAAAATGATGAGATGAAAAATGATGAGATGAAAAATGATGAGATGAAATGATGAGATGAAATGAAATGAAATAATGAAATAATGAAATGAGATGAAATGAAAAGAAATGATGAAATGATATTGAAATGAAATTGAAAGATGAGATGAAATGATGCGATGAAATGATGAAATGTTGAAATGAAATGATGAAATGAATAGATGTGACATGAAATGAGCTGAAATGATGAGATCAAATGAAATGAAATGAGCTGAAATGATGAGATGAAAAATGATGAGATGAAAAATGATGAGATGAAATGCTGAGATGAAATGAGATCAGATGAACTGAGATGAGATGAGATGAAATAATGAAATTAGGTGAAATAATGAAATGAGATGAAATAATGAAATTGAAATGAGATGAGAAGAAATGAGATGAAATGTTGTAATGAAAGGAGGAAATGAGATGAGGAGATGAAATGATGAGATGAATTGAGATGAAATGAGATGAAAAATGATATCAAAAATATGAGATGAAATGAAATGAGATTATATGAAATGACATAATGAATTAAATGAAATTAGATGAAATGAAATGAAATAGTGAAATGAAATGATGAAATGAAATAATGAAAATGAAATGGAAATGAGATGATATGAGATTTGATGAAATGATGAGATGAAATGATGAGATGATATGAAATGATGAGATGAGATGGGATGAGATGAAATGAGATAAAATGATGAGATGAAATGATGAAATGATGAGATGAAATGATGGGGTGAAGTGATGCACTGTCACGTGTGTGTCTATTCTTTTTCCCAAGCAACAAAAATTATAATTCATTAATTTTAATTTTATTATTTAAGAATATTCTTAAGAGTTGAAGGAAAAATAATATCTGTACATTATGGGTTACAATCTAAGTATAAATAATACGTAAATATATTAAAACTTACAAAGAATATGTTTTGGAATCGAATATACCATGCTTCTGTGATGACAGTTATTTCATGCTGGTTGTCACAATTTTACATGAAAAACTAATGAAAAAATGTTTTTAACTGTTTCTAAAAATAACAGTTTCCAAAACAGTTTTACATTCGAAATATGAAAAAGATGTCTTTGTGTTCCTTAATCTGATGAGATTTTCACACTCTGCACATGATAATTGTTAGATTTTTATTGTGTTGATAAATTGTATATCAAATAAAAAATGTTATTACCTCTTAAATTAGGATTTTTAGGTGATATAGGCAGAAAGGACAGCAAGTTTTTATAACTTTGTCTAAATGAACTTTCTAAATGCCTGAGTATTAAAAGATAGCATGTCTATAAATCACAATGTATATATTACTGTATGACCTAGGACCAATCAAAACCGTTACCTCTGATAACATTATATTGTGCCCAGTATAAAATAGATATAATAATACCTCAAACTTAAATCCAGGCATTGTCATTGAATATCTTAAGAATATGCAACAAAGGTGCTTTTAAAAATACAAGCTAGTGATTGTACCAAATTTGTAAATCACATAGGATAGTGGGTCATTTTAAGAATATTAGTTATTTCAATCTATAAACGTGGATGTCTTTCCTTTTTTGTGTTTTCTTTAATTTCTTTCATTAATATTTGTCATTTTTGTTGTCGAAATCTTTTACTTCCTTGGTTAAATTTATTTCTAAGTACATTTTTGTAGCTATTGTAAAAGGAATTGCTTTCTTAATTTCTTGTTTCAGCTAGTTTACTATCAATATATAGAAATGCTACTGATTTTTGTATGTTGATTTATATCCTGCAACTTTATTAATTTCATGTATCACCCTAAGAAGCTTTTGGTAGAGTCTTATTTTTTTCCGTGTATAAGATCACATTGTCTTTAAACAGGGACAATTTGACTGTCTCCTTTCCAATTCAGATGTCCTTTATTTCTTTTTCTCACCTAATTGTCCTGGCTAAGACTTTCACTATGTGAAATATGATTGGTGAGAATAGGCATCCTTTTCTTGTTCCAGTAAAATCTTTTTCTTGTTCACAGTAAAATCTTTCACCTTTTCCACACTCAGTATGATCTTAGTTGTAGGTTTGTCCTTTATGTCCTTCTGTTTTAAGGCATATATTTTCTATACTAAATTGTTGAGAGGTTTTTTGTCATGTAAGAATATTTAATTTTGCCAAACGCTTTTATTGTGTTTATTAATTTAATCATATGGTTTTCAGTATATATCCAAAGGAAAGAAAATCAGTATATCAAAGACTTACCTGCACCCCCATGTTTATTACAGCACTATTCACAATAGCCAAGATGTGGAATCAACAAAAGTGTCCATCAACAGATGAATGGATAAAGAAATGTGACATACATATATAATGGAATACTATTTAGTCATAATAAAGAACAAAATCCTGTTATTTGTGGCAACAAGAATGCAAGTGGAGGGCATTATGTTAGGTGAAATAAGCCTGGCATAGAAACATAAACACCACATAACTACGTGTTCTCACTTATGTATGGAAGCTAAAATGTTTAATCTCGTAGAAGTAGATAGTAGAGTTTTGGTTACCATATCCTGGAAAGAGTAGGAGAAAGAAGAGTATAAGAAAAATGTGGTTAATACATACAAAATTACAGCTGGAGAGAAGGAAGAAGTTCTAGTTCTCTACAGCACTGTTGGGTGACTGTAGTTAACGGGAATTTATTGTGTGTTTTCAAATAACTAAAATAAAAGATTTTGAATATTCTCACTGCAAAG
The DNA here is from genome assembly GCF_000001405.40 of Homo sapiens. Classification (NCBI taxonomy): domain Eukaryota; kingdom Metazoa; phylum Chordata; class Mammalia; order Primates; family Hominidae; genus Homo; species Homo sapiens. Next base: position 87,519 of record NT_187367.1, on the reverse strand, counting down.
AATACATGATTTAAGGTAATGGATATGATAATGACTCTGACTTGATCTTTACGCATTGCATAAATATATCAAAATATCACTCTGTACCCCATAACATGCACATTTATTATATGTCAATTAAAGTAAATTTAAAAGAGAAAAAATGAGACAAAGGTAAATATACATAATTTAATTACTTTTTCTTCTATAGAACCCGAGTCAGTACCAAGAAGAGTCAATTTATTAGTTTTCTAAAATAAAAAAAATCAAAATCACCAAAAAAGAGCAATATCCAAGAAAACATTGAAAATGAAACACAACATTTAGTAAGAATAGAAAACTTGGGCACCGTATCACCCTGTTCCTAGATACCGATTTACTGATGGCCATTTAAATAGAATTTTATTCTATCTAATTCATTTATACTCCCAGAGTTCAAAATTACATTTTACCTACAATAAATGAGATAACACTTGTAAATTATATGGTACTCTGCCTAACACACGTTAATAACTCAATACATGTTAGCAATAAACTTTTAGTATAGTAGTCAAAGTATTAATTTCTCACATTGCAATTTCCTTCAAAGACATGAATACAACCTTTCTAATGACTCCTTGTTCATCAAGATACCTCTTCAAATTATTCTATTTGTTTCATTCAGTATATTATCTGTGTATACCGATATTAGACTCTTTTCTTTTTTTGAGATGGCATCTCATTCTGTTACTGATGCTGGAGTGAGGTGGCATGATCTCGGTTCACTGCAACCTCCACCTCCCAGGTTCAAGTGATTCTCCTGTCTCAGCCTCCCAAGTAGCTAGGACTACAGGTGCATACCACGATGCCTGGCTAATTTTTGTATTTTTAGTACAGTCAAGAGTTTCACCTTGTTGTCCAGGCTGGTCTCGAACTCCTGACCTCAGGTGATCCACCCACCATGGCCTCCCAAAGTGCTGGGATTACGGGCATAAGCCACCGCACCCAGCCTGATATTGCACTCTTGGATTTTGAACACTGAATATCTTTTTGAAAGATTACACCTCTTTACTTCTTTGTGCTTCAGAAATTATTTTCCTTCAAGTGTTCTAAGAGTCTAATGAAGAATGAAGTCATGTTTTATCACTTTTGTCCTTAAAGATTTCAGACATGCTGAAACTGATTGAAGTATCATTTGCTACTAGATAGATTAATTATCTCTAGTTGTAGGAGTGGATACATCTTTAATGGTATATTTTGGGTTATTATCTTATTTTTGATGCAGTATTCTATAAATAATTTATTAAACCTGGCATCCTTGGGTGAGCATAGATTTTTCAACTTTAGTGTTATACTGTGTTTGCTTTTAAAAACTGCTTCTGAGGCCAGGTATGGTGGCTCTTGCCCATACCCAGCACTTTGGGAGGCCAAGATGGGTGGATTACCTCAGGTCAGGAGTTCAAGACCAGCCTGGTCAACATGGCAAAACCATGTCTCTACTAAAAACACAAAATTAGCCAGGCATGGTGGTGCATGCTTGTAGTCCTAACCACTCGAGAGGCTGAGGCAAGAGAATCACCTGAACCTGGGAGGCAAAAGTTGCTAGGTTGCTGTGAGCCAAATTCGCAGCATTGCCCTCCAGCCTGGGTGAAAAGAGCAAAACTCTGTCTCAAAAAAAAAAAAAACCCACCAAAAACTGCTTTTGAATGGAGTTGTACATATAATTTTTATGAAAAAAATTAACAAGTGCATAAGTTCATAATAGAAAAACCAATAATACTCCAGGCACAAGTTAGTACTAAAAAAATTATGTTGAATATTCTCTAATACAACATGCTTTTTCCCTTCATGAACAATTTGTGTTTTACTGAGAAGAGTCATTGTTTATGGTAGACATTAGACTACAGATGAATATGTACTTTAAACACTCTTAGTTGCTTTCTTAATTTTATATCTGCTGCTTTATGCTTCTGTTTATTTTCATTCTTTCCAATGTCCACATTCTAGTAAATTTGAATATTTTAATCCAAGTTTATATACTATTTAATATTGCTTGTATAGTTTAGTATTTTTAAGACTCAAAAAGGTTTACAGAAAGAAGAAAAAGATCAACATGTTATTAGTCATTTAAAGATCATTTTGAAATCTTTGACCTTTATATTTTAATGAATAAAATATTAGTAGTTATTAGTATAAAATAATTTATGTCTTTTGGACTTAACATCCAGTATTTCTTTTTTAATAAAGAAAATAATTATTCTCTTGCAATGTACTATGTTTATCTGAGTTTTGAAAAGTGATGTTTCCTAATATGAGAAAGCCATTTACATTTTTAAATCTACAAGGGCAAATGGAATGGTACTAAATTATTTACATAATAATGTTTAGATGGTGGCCCTTATAACATTCTTTCTATACTTCCTACAGAGTTGGGGATATGCAATCCTAGAATATTTCTGGGAGCTAATCCTTTAGCTTGATGAATGAAACAAGACTTTTAAATAAAATTAAACTTTCAAATTATCCAGGTAATGGGCCTGTCTTTTAATTCAATGGATATGGAGCATAATGAATTAACCCCTGTTCATTGGGTAATAAGTTCTCATTCTTATAATACTCAGAATGTCCTTTAATTTTTAATTTTTGATAGTCATATCATTATCCCTAGGTATTTTAGCTTCTATCTTAAATTCTAAAATAATTTTGAAATAGGAGAAAGTATTCTTTATTACTATATGTATTAAACATCATGGTTTTCAAATTGAACTGCAAATGTATCTTTTCATTGCTTCTTGATGACACCCTTCACCCTATCCATATTGTCACTACCAAGTGGTGATTACTTCTCAGGTTCACATACTTATTCTTCAGAAAAATCTTCTCTGTGCCTTATAAAGAATATGATTGTTGGCATTCAAAAGCCAGCTAAGTATACATTATTAGCCTGTTGCCTAACTCATTTCTTTAAGAAACTACACTAATTACCCACATACTTATGTTTTTATTTCCTCATTATTTCTGGAGAAAACAAGTACTGTTAACATGATATTTGTAAGAGAGAAAAAAGTCTTTTCTTGAAAAGTGCTGTCATTGTAGTACTAACTTATAGTATCAACTTCTTTATAAACTCCTTTTACACTTTTTATTCTGAGAGAAATAAAAAAGCTAAAAGTCAAATGACTTTTTTTACTCTCCTTATTATAAGCACCCATCTTGGTAATTTAGGGTCTTTATAGTTAGGGTAAGTTGTGTCATACCGAGGTTACAAAATAAAAATTATTTTTTCTCTTTGGGCCTTTCCTTATTCAGTAATACTGTCAGTTTGGCTTTTTTTGTAGGTCAACTTATTGAACTCAGTATTCTGAAGTAATATGTTTACTATCTTTTGAGAAGCACTTAAAATATTAGATTTATTGTTACTCTTCTGCCTTTATTGGGCTGGAAGAATAATTGTTTCACTCCACAAAAGGCAAGTTGTGGAGAAAACCACATAGACATTCAACTGCAAAGCAGAGAAACTTGACTATTTTCTGCAATTTTAAAGTGTATATTGAATAAAACCATCTTTTTATTTTCTTTTTTGCTCACTGGCAAATATTAACAACATCAAGTGTATTATTATAATGTTATCTAGTTAAAAATCTCAAAAAGTTTTCATAATTACCATTTTAAAATATATAAATAGGTGACCTAATGTTAATTTTTATTGTCTGAGACCATGTCTGTTATTTCACTCTTTAAATTCAGTTAGTAATGCAGAACCTAGCACTTAGTAGATACTCAAAAATTATTTGCTGAATAAAAAAGGTTAAACATGTAATATATACAAAATGTACTGGAAAAAAATGCACCAAACAATTTTGTTATACCAGTTTAATGTAAATATTGCTTTTAAAAGATAATATAGTTTTCAGGTGTCTACAGTGATTTTGTAATATTTGTGCACATATAAAATAATATTTCCAAAAATGTAATCCAGTGGGGAAATATACTTTCTAAATTCTAGATTTATAATTTAGGGTTTAAATTATAAAATCATTAAATAAGACACAAGTGAAATGTAGTCAAATATCCCCTTGGAAAAAAATTAAGTGGCCTCTAAAGTGAGGTATTCATATATGTAATTTTACAATCCTCTAGTGATAGAATTAATTAAATACACCACCAAATTGATTAATTCCTACTGTGTTAAAAGAGAAGCACTAACAATGCCAGTTACCATGTAACATGGATTTAAGCTACAAGTCATAGAAATGTGATGAGAAGCCTCAGCGCTGTAAAACAGAGGGTGGAGGAAAGCTTTTCCTCTCTCAAATGAGCTTTGCGAGGTATACTTCTTGAAGGATAGGAAGTTGAAGTGTTGAGGACTTTTATGTCTATTCTACTTTGGCTTAGTTTACATGATTCGTAGTTTATTAGCCTAGAAATGGCCAAGAAAACTTAAGGTTCAATAATTAGTTATAAATATGAAATATCCCCAATTTTTAAGATAAAAACAACTTATAAATGTATTTGTAAAAATTGTGTATTTTTTACAGAACATCTATTTCTTTTTTTATTTTTTTATATTTATTTATTATACTTTAAATTCTAGGGTACACATGCACAGTGTGCAGGTTTGTTGCATATGTATACATGTGCCATGTTGGTGTGCTGCACCCATTAACTCATCATTTATATTAGGCATATCTCCTAATGCTATCCCTCCCCCCTCCCCCCACCCCACAACAGGCCCTGGTGTGTGATGTTCCCCTTCCTGTGTCCAAGTGTTCTCATTGTTCAATTCCCACCTATGAGTGAGAACATGTGGTGTTTGGCTTTTTGTCCTTGCGATAGTTTGCTGAGAATGATGGTTTCCAGCTTCATCCGTGTCCCTACAAAGGACATGAACTCATCATTTTTTATGGATGCCTAGTATTCCATGGTGTATATGTGCCACATGTTCTTCATCCAGTCTATCATTGTTGGACATTTGGGTTGGTTCCAAGTCTTTGCTATTGTGAATAGTGCTGCAATAAACATACGTGTGCATGTGTCTTTATAGCAGCACGATTTATAATCCTTTGGGTATATACTCAGTAGTGGGATGGCTGGGTCAAATGGTATCTCTAGTTCTAGATCCCTGAGGAATGGCCACACTGTCTTCCACAATGGTTGAACTAGTTTACAGTCCCACCAACAGTGCGAAAGTGTTCCTATTTCTCCACATCCTCTCCAGCACCTGTTGTTTCCTGACTTTTTAATGATCGCCATTCTAACTGGTGTGAGATGGTATCTCATTGTGGTTTTGATTTGCATTTCTCTGATGGGTCTATTTCTTTAAAACAAAGGGAGGGGAGTCTCTCATTTGCATTAGTTTTTTTCATAGCCTTTTGAACTTCGCAATTTCTATGTTTCAGAACCTATTTCTTACAGTTTTTCTATGCTAAACTCTGTCCTAGTCAGTTCTAGAGTGTATGAAGAACCAAATGATGTAATTGTATGCCACCTGGCTGTAGTGGAACAAATTTGACTCTTAAGTATGCAGGCTCTAATTCTCCTGTCTGGTTTTGGCAAGTATTCCTTACATAGGTCTTTTCTTTGAAAATCTGGGATTGAGAGGTTGATGAATGAAAATTAATCCTTTCACTTTGTTGTATATAGGTTTGCAATAATTAGGTCAGAGTGGAGTTTTAAGGTCACGGAGGGGTCTGATGACTTACAAATAGTGGGCTCTGATTGGGCAACTACTCATCTGAGTTCCTTCCATTTGACCTAATTAAGCTTGTGAAATTTACACTAAGCCATGAGCTCATCTTTAAAAAGTTTTATTAAAAGATTTTCAGCTGTTCCAAATGGGACTTATTAGTGGAATGTGTTTTAAAGGATCATATCAGATGAATGAAAGGTATTTGATCCTTCGTTTCCTTAATAATAAAATGATGGTTTGGAAAAATAGGCTGCAGTCTAACCACAGTGCTATTATTAGGCTTTCTTGTTAAACATAGTTCTAAGCCTAAGTATGTCAATACAACAAATACTTACTGTTTCATTTCTAGTAATGAAAAAAAAAAAAACCAAGTCTTTCTGGCATAAGGATGATTTTCATCTGGTTATTTTGAAACATTTTTGTAAAATAAATTTCCATCTATAAAGAACATTTTTATTTGTAAGGAGGGGTATGTCTCTGTGCACTGGAAGAGAGGGAGGACTAAATCACTGGGAAGTCTTATGATAAAGAAGCCATTGGCTTAAATCAGCAAAGCAAGCCGTCCCTTGGTTTAAGGTGTTTTTCCTGGCCATCCTGTCTTGACTAGAACTTTACCTACACCTTCCTTTTTGGTTTAGGCAAATTATAGTATCTAAAACTAAAGTCTCAGCTCTGTGTCTTTGACATATAAATGTTCTACCATGTCTTCTCTGGAATCTGATAACTATCTATCTCTTTAAAATGCAAGTCTAGGGAGATGACTCATCAGAAAAAGAAGAAAAAAGAGGTATTTGGAAATTGTGCAAATTAAAGCAGCCCCTGATGTCAAAGTCTACACATTCCTGAGTGAGTCAGTTCTGGCCAGTTCTAGCTGGATCAAGAGAGCTCTTCTGGGCAGGCCTGAAGAGCACCTGGATGGCAGACACCTGAGGAGCCAGGTGCCTGAAACTTCCTCCACCTTCTTGAGGAGGGCCAAAGCCCAGGTGCTGGCTGGACAACCCCTTCTGGCTGCCTAAGCAGATGGCAGAAGAAGGAAACAAGGTCAGAGGCAGAGTATTGAACCCTGCCTCCCAGGTGGGTGGAAGATGCCTGTCACCAAACTAGGGCCCAGCTTGCCGGGTGAGATGGGTGAACTGGTGATCCCCCGAGAGAGTGGACATCAGAACTACATGTTCCTGGACTTCACCTCGGCCAGCAAAGGAGAGAGAGGGTTAATGTTAACTGCACGAGGCCCACTCTAGCCTTAAATTCTGTAATTCAAACCCTTCCCTTGGAGACAAAACATGACAAGGAATTCTGAGGTCAGGGGACAAGAATCACAAAGTGGGAGACTGAGGAGGCAGTGTCCTTCCTGCCCTTGGTCTACTGGCTAAGAACCTTCCTCAGCCTGACCTTTGCACATTGCACTTTCAGCTCTGTTTGCAATTTTCCTCCTTTAGTGCTGAGGGAATCCCAGTGTTCGATCCTGAAATCTGTACGTTCCTAATGGGTGGTTAAAAAAAACCTCAGCGAGAGAAGCAGAAAATGTTTCCTCTTCCTGAAAAACTGTAGAAAGGCAGGCACCATTCTGGGTGAGGACATGGTCCTTGCAAATGTCTTTGTGTTCTTTTTTTTTTTTTTTTTTGAGATGAAGTTTTGCTCTTGTTGCCCAGACTGGAGTGCAGTGGTGTGATCTCTGCTCATTGCAACCTCCGCCTCCTGGGTTCAAGCAGTTCTCCTACCTCAGCCTCCCGAGTAGCTGGAATTACAGGCACCTGCCACCACACCTGGCTAATTTTTTGTATTTTTAGTAGAGATGGGGTTTTGCCATGTTGGCCATGTTGGTCTCGAACTCCTGACCTCAAGTGAGCCACCCGCTTCTGCCTCCCAAAGTGCTGGGATTACAGGAGTGAGCCACCGCGTCCAGCCTGCAAACGTCTTTAAAGACAGCGTGTTTCAGAGGCTGTGACAGTGCCCTGTGAACATGCCAATTCTCACAGTCCCGGGAGCTCTGAGGAGCAGGCCCGGCTCCTTGCCAGGCTGATGGTACTGAAACTCTGCTCTCCAAGACATAACCTGATGGCCGTGCAAGATTTCTTAATCGACTGTGGACCGTGAGAGTCTGCATCTCATTTTAATTAAGATGGGAAAAGAAAGAACAAAAGAGCAACTCCCAGGTTATAGAGAAAGTGGATTTTAGTATAATATTCAAGTGTAGCATTGCTAATAATAACAAACCTTTCCCCTCCCAAACGGTAAACACTTGCACTGCCTATTATACAAAAATTCAACCACCCTCTCTGTTACCCCGATATCTCCTCCCCAGTGACCCCCCCTCTCATGCGGCCTCATGAGCCTGACCAGTGGTGAATGGCACTTTCATGGGCATGAGACTCCACGTGAGTGGGACTCAGCTGGGACCCCTCTCCACGTGGGAGCTGGGGAAGCCACCCTAGTAGCAGCTCAAAGTGTCCGTGATGTCCCTGCTGCTGAGGTAGGGGCTGCCTCTGAGCTGGTGTCGGGGTGTGAGCTGCTGCTGGTAGTAGGCTCTGCCCTGAGGGCCTGGTGGCTGGTCAGAAGGGCAGGCACACATGGGTGACTCCCCAGGAACTCAGGCCACCTCCCCACCACAGCCCTGCACTGTGTGCTCCAGGCATGTGCTGAGTGCCTGGTCAATCACCAGTGCCCTATTGATCCCAGTCTCCAGAGAGAGCATTTAGTGTCACTCCACAGAGGGGGAAACTCGGCCCAGAGAAGTAAGGTGACTCTCCCCAGTCACAGAGCTGGTCAGCAGTAGGATGGGAAGCTAGTCCCTTGCTGTCTGACTCCCTGAGCCCACCCATATCCCAAGGCAGCCAACCTCTGCCCGCCCTGGTTCAGGCCCCGACTGGCCCCAGTGGTGGGTGATGTCTATCTTCCTGGCCTTTGTGCTCCCAGCCAACTGGGATGGAGCCTCCAGCTGGCATGACATGTTGTAGCTACGGACAGAAGAGTGGCTGTGAGGCTGCCAGGAATCTCACCAGGGCCCCCTCCCAGGGCCTGTCCAGAGTGAGGTCTGGGTACCCCAGGCATTGCCAGACCACAGGATCTGATGTTGGCCAAGAGGCCATGGCCACAGGCTTTCTGAGGCTGGCCCCCAGGGAGAGTTCAATCCTACTATCCCAATTCCTGTCCTGGCCTTACCTCTCAGTCTCACCGAGCCGCTTCATGGTCCCAAACCAGGACCCAAAGTGCTGCTTGGGCTCAAGGTTGTAATTATTTGCAGTCAACTGGAGCAGTGGACCTCCTTGCTTACTTTGAATTCCTGGGTCCAGAGGGAAAAACTGGGTGGTGACAGGGACTGGACAGGGATGCCACAGGGGCCCTGTGGGGGTGTTAGATGGGGTGGTGGCCAGTCTTTGCTCATAGGGGACCCCCTCCTCCTCTCCAGTCCTGTCCCCACCTGTTCTCAGAGCTGGCTCAAACAGCAGCTCCTCCAGGAATGTGTCCTTGGTTTCAACCTGGTACTCCCACCTGCAGGTCTTCCTGGAGTGTCTCCTCTTTCTCTCTGTCTCCCCATAAATCTAAGACGAGGGGGATGGATCTGCCCACTGCTACTCACCGTATGACTCTTGTGAGGTTGATCAGTCTCCCCTGGAAGGCCAACAGCTGAAGTCCATCAGAAAGGGTCCTCTGGCCCAGAGCCAGCCCCTGCCCACCCCTGTCTTGCTGCACCCAGGGTGCAAGACCCAGATCAGGTCTGGGTGACAGGAGGGGTATAGAGGGGCTGAGGCTCAGGGGCCTTCCAGCCTAACTTGTCTGGAGACAGTTGGGGAAACTGAGACCCCAAGCAGGGAGGTATGGCTCCGAGAGATTATTCTCATTAACCTGGAAAATTTTTGCAAGCTGTTAGGTATAGGAAGTCTGTCACAGGTAAGAGAAATGCTTTTTAAGAGCATGAGAGACAGCAGGATTGTGACAATATTGAAACACCACCGTGCAGATTCACCAATTGCCACCACCGGGAGCCCCCTGAGAGTCATTGCAGATGCACAGCCCTCCCCTGCAACCCCTGGACCTCCCCGTGGTCTGGCACCTAAAGGGTTATGCCTCATGGCGGGAATCAGGGCCCTCAGGGTGCCCCGCCCACTCCAAGGTCTGCCTCTGCTCTGATTGGTCACTGACATTCAGATTGTCACCCAAATATAAGGACGTTAGCAGAAAGACTCATTCAATACAAGTGGACTCAGACATAGATAGGAATTGGGTTGCAAAAAGCCCCTTTTGTTTATTTTATTTTGGAAAAAACTTTTATTGTGAAAATTCACATTATATATATATATATGTATGTATGTATGTATGTATATATAGAAAAAAACTCAATCAATGCAAAAGGATAGACAATGAACAAATGAATTCCCCTTCCACTCCAGATCCCCAACTCAGATCCAGACCTCCTGAGCCCACTTCCCCCATCTCATCACAGATCCAGACCTCCTGAGCCCACTTTCCCCATCTCATCACAGATCCAGACCTCCTGAGCCCACTTTCCCCATCTCATCAGAGATCCAGACCTCCCCCACTTTCCCCATCTCATCACAGATCCAGACCTCCTGAGCCCACTTCCCCATCTCATCACCAGTGATTTCTTGGGCTCTGCATTAGTTTTCTATTGCTGCTGCAACAAACAGCTACAGACTCAGTGGCTTCCATTTCTGTCTTATAGTTCTGGTTGCCAAAAGTCCTAAGAGGATCTCACTGGGCTAAAGTCAAGGTGCTGGCGGGGCTATGTCCCTTCTGGAGGCTCAAGGGATGAATCGGGTCCCTGCCTTTTCTAGCTTCTAGGGGCTCCAGCTTCTAGGTTTGTGGCCTCCTTCCTCCATCCTCAAAGCCAGCAACAGCAGGTGAAGTCCTCGCCCATCATGCATCACTCTCCCTTCTTCCTCCTTCAACTTTTTTTTTTATATTTAGGGGGAACGAGTACCGGATTCTTACATAGTCAAAAAGCTCCTTATAGAGAAGCTCGGAACTTTCAATACAACTTTGCCTTTTCTGCCATTTTAATTTTCCATTTAATTTAAATGTATTCTCTCATTTGACCTTCATACTCTGTGGAGAAATATTCCTATTTCGGCTTGTATTGACAAGCTGTTTTCACACAGCCCCCACATCACCCAACCAACCAGCAAGAAACAGATAAAGAAACTGAGGCCCAGGGAGGCTAAGAGTCCTGCCAGGATCATTCACCTTTCAAGGTAAGGAGCCAGTTCCAGACCTGGGTTTGTGCAGCTCCAAGCTCCCCCGTCTTTCTACAATGCTAGATTTAGACTATAGCAATCTAGCAAGTGTGGCCACACAATGGTCAAGTTGGATTTAGATGATGTTCCCTATAAATCCATTCTCCTCTCCCGTGTAAGCAAGGCAAAGTACTCCAGGCCATGGGGAGTCCCTGAAGACTCGATGAACTGCAGTGGCCACATCAGGAGGTTGCAGGTTGACCAGAACTCACCGACACAGCAGGAGAGCAGCTTGGAACCTGCAACCTAGCCAAAACCTAGTGCCTTGGACTGGGGGAGAAAACAGGCAGCCATTCCTCTCTCTCTGCTGGCTAGAGGGGATTCTGGCTTTTCCTGCCAGAGCCACCCCTTTCCCTCCTCCTAAAGTTGATGGTGGTTCTTTAAGGAAAGGGAGAAGTGCACGGTGTGATAGGGCAGGAAGAGAAGAAAATGGAGGAGAGGAGGGGACTTTCCCATAAGCAGGCAGAAGAAAAGGCAGCTGTGGTGTGTGATGGACATGGATGTAGTGGTGTCCAATGTGGGGTCAGCCCTAGAGGAGAGACAGAGAGAGAGACAGAAAAGTGAGAGTCCTGACCCTTACGATTAACATGGGATCTGCCTGCAAATGCTGTTTAGGGCCATCGCCTCTTCCTGTACTGCTATTTTTGAGAGTGATGCTCCTGAGCCCCATGACCCAGTCAAATTTGATGTCCCCTCGAGCCAGATTCAGTGCTGGGAGTCCAGTGTGATCTGCCTGGATCTTGCTGCATTGAGAACAGGCCAGATCTTGACCCCAATACAGGGGCTGGATATGAACAGGCAACAGCTGGGTTTCTGAGTCAGAAAGACTTGGTTAATTGCTAATTGCTTAGGCGAGTAATTTAATTTTGTTGAGTCAGATTCTTCAGCTACAAAATGCAGATGACAGTACTTATTCCTCCAGGTTGTGGGGAAAATGGAGATTCTAAGCACGATGTCCATTTCACAGAAAGCTACCAAATTGGTGGCTTATTTTCCTTTCTACCTTCAGAAGTGGCTATCCCTGCCACCCAAACAGACCCTTGACTCTCAAGTGGACGGGGTCCCATTTGCACAGGGGGAGACCTTACAGCCTACGTTGAGTCTATACTTACCACTTAGTGAGCATTGTGTCTGCTCAGGGGCCTCTGTGGGCATCCGTCTCCTCTGCAGCATCTTTCCTCCCCACTGCTGGGTCTGCACATGACCCCCTCCTTGGGTTAGGCCTCTGATCAGTGATGACCTTGGTATGGTGGTGATGGTCAGTCTTGGCATCAAATGAGCCAGTTTATATCATCAGCTATTCAATAAAATACTAATCTAGGTGTCACCGTGAAAGTATTTTGTGACATTGTTATGTACGTGTTGTTACAAATGTGCATGATGCATTTACTACAGCATAGAATTTTGCCTGGGTGCCAGCGTGAAGTCTGTCCGACAGATCATAGCCATGTTAATCCCACAGTCACGGGGGCCAATTGATTAAATTATTTTATCTCCCTTGAAAACTAAAAATAAAATCCTAAGCCCCCCACCCGACTTAACAGACCCCCTGTTGGCCAACGGAACCTCAAATAAATCTTAAAATTCAGTTCTTGGCCATGACAGGACAGGAGGTCAGACATACCTCCCTGTACCTCCCTCCCTCTTATGGTTTAGACCCAACAACTGAACAGCATTAATGTTAAAATAGAGATCATGAGACTGACAGAACAGACTCTTTGTGGCAATAAGACCTCAAATTATAAACAGGACCTAGGGCCATGCCAGGCGAGCGTTAAGTCTTGTACCCTACTCTTAAAGAATTAACTAGATTCTAACTACCACATGGGTTTTATTTTTCTCTAGCAACCAAGCAAGCACTGGCTGTGAGAGAAGCAAGATTAAAACAATTACAACTCACCCAGTTCACAGACGCTGAGTAACTGATCTCCTGCCCCACTAACCTTAATGACAGCTTTCTCTGGACAAGGGACTGATTTCAGTAACTTTCTCCTGATAAGAGACCATCCTCCATGGACTCGTTCTGGCCAGTTTTGGAGGCAGTGCCTTTACAGAGGCTGAGTACCTTCATGTCCCTGCTTCACTTTTTGATGTGTAGGGCCTAATTATAATACATTTAAATGTCAAGTCTCCACCCCAGAATGAACATGCATGTTTATTGAATGTGCATGCATTAGGACCTCTTTTATGAGTATTCTCATAAAATGATATAGCTCCTCTGATATCCTATTGAGTATGTATATGTAGCCAACTCATTTGGCTCAAATTCCTGTCCTCTCCTTCCCTCCCTGGAAATGCCTGCCTCTGGCCTTGGCTGTAGGCCACACTTCCCAGCCTGTCATAATGGCCACCTTGCAGACTGCAAACCTATATAAGAAATAAAGCTCTCTTTTCTAAATTTATAAAATTGTGTGATTTTTCAGTTGATGCTCTCTTTCTACACACACACACACACGCAATTTATACAGAAGGAAATCTGGAGAATATATGTGGGAATGGATATTAAGTGTGTGGCACCATGGTGGAAGTAACATAAAGTTGGATTAGGCTAAATTTATTAATGTTGGCCCACTAAACAGAGATTCTGGACTCAGGGTTGTAGGTCAAAGCTTTAGAAAGGGCTCCAAGGGTTGGTTTGATCGGTTACTTGGTTGGTTGCTTGCTTGGTTGGTTGGTGCTTGCTTCCTTGCTTGGTTGTTTGGTTGGTTTGTTGCTTGCTTGCTTGTTGGTTGATTGGTTGGCTGTTTGCTTATTTGTTTGGTGACTTGGTTGGTTGGCTGAAACAGAATCAGAGTTTACCTAAGGTACATAAAGTTGAGATGCCACAACTTCCTTGGTTTATGTGTACAGAAAGGTATGCAAAAACTCAGGGAGACTGGATTTATTATGTCAGACCTGCTCACTCACACTGGAGGGTCTACGGAACATACTCCTCACAACGATCATGAGAAAGAATATTGTGAGAGGAGCCCAGTATCCTGGAAGAGCTTTGAGCTTGTGCTCTCAGTAGGCAAAATGTTACAGCAGGAACTGCAGCCGCTGGACTGGGATCTTTAAGTAAAATGAGGATAATTGAATCCTGGGGTGGCAGGGAACATGGGCTGTCCTTAATCACCAAAGATGAGGTGGGTGTGGTCACCACAGTGGAAAGCAGTGTCAAAGCAGCAGTCAGAATGGCTTGACTCACAGACACCCACGGCATTGTGTAGTCCATGGTATCCACAGGGAGAGCTAATGGGCTGTACCAAAGTCTTAGTTGTTCTTTAAAAAATGAAGAATTCTAGGTCAACTGAATAAAAGACTAACTCAAATTAATGAAACACAGATCTAAAACCCTCAATCAATTCCCAGACTTGAGCCAGTTCACAGGCCCACAACCCCTTAAGTGAAGGGGAGGCTGGGTGATCTTGGGGAAGTACGCTGCTACATTGCCAAAAATTTACATTGTTAATCTTTTTCCCAGTCTTCCCCAAAGGGACCTACAGCCTTCTGCCAGGATGACTGTGACTTAAAGAAAAGAAAATTCTCAGATATTTGGGGAATTACTGGACACTGGCTCTCATTTGACACTATTATCACTATGTTGCCTAGGATGGATTCATGCTCCTGGGTTCAAGCAGTCCTCCTACCTCAGCCTCCCAAAGTGCTGGGATTACAGACATGAGCCACTGTGGCCAGCAGAGCTTTGAAACTAGAACATGGAGGTCCAGTGGTAAAGATTTGACAAGTCTGGGAAGAGATTGGGCCAAGGCAATGTTGATGATTCTTTTTTTTTTTTTTTTTTTTTTTTTTTTACAACAGAGTCTTGTTCTGTTGTCTAGGCTGGAGTGCAATGGCGCGATCTCGGCTCACTGCAACCTCTGCCTCCGGGGTCCAAGCAATTCTCCTGCCTCAGCCTCCTGAGTAGCTGGGATTACAGGTGCCCACCACCACACCAGGCTAATTTTTTATTTTTTTGTTTTTTTTGAGACAGAGTCTCACTCTATATCGCCCAGGCTGGAGTGCAGTGGCGCAATCTGGGCTCAATGCAAACCCCGCCTCTCAGGTTCATGCCATTCTTCCGCCTCAGCCTCACGAGTAGCTGGGACTACAGGTGCCTGCCACCGTGCCTGGCTAATTTTTTGTATCTTTAGTAGAGACGGGGTTTCATTTCACCATGTTAGCCAGGATGGTCTTGATCTCCTGACCTCATGATCTGCCCACCTCGGCCTCCCAAAGTGCTGGGATTACAGGGATGAGCCACCATGCCCAGCCACACCAAGCTAATTTTTGTATTTCTTTTTTTAGTTGAGACAGGGTTTCACCATGTTGGCCAGGCTGGTCCCTGACCTTGTGATCCACCCGCCTCGGCTTCCCAAAGTGCTGAGATGACAGGCGTGAGCCACCGCGCCTGGCCAATGTTGATGATTCTAAACAGCAGCCGCTAATGTGAAAACCATCCAACTGGAAGCCCTGGCCTTGCCCAGAGGACACAGTCTGGGTGGTGGGCAGAGACTTCAGCTGCCTTCCAAGGCAAGCAGCTCCTTGCTGCCCGCTTGCTGGGGATTTTACTTACAGGGCAGAAGCTGGCAGGTGATTTGGGGGCAGGAATTGCTTCCTGGATGGTATAGGATGAACCACACTCCCCAGGAAGGCACTCATCCTGGTGGCCTAACAGAAGCAGCCCTCACCCCAAAAGGCAATGCTGCTCCACTAGTTTTATGAGGTGACTCCTTCCTGTAGGTTCCTTCCAGCTTTACCAGAAACACAGAACATCTTTCCTGACAGGGCATTGGTTTTGTTTTTGAACAGAGAGATCCTTCTTTTAAAAAGTTAGGTTTTTTTTTTGTTTTTTTTTTTTTTTTGTAATGGAATCAACCTAGGTCCTAAGCCTAGCAGGTTGTTATTATTATTTTTATGATTATTTTTTGAGATGGAGTCCCACTCTGTGGCCCAGGCTGGAGGGCAGTGGCACGATCTCAGCTCACTGCAATGTCTGCCTCCTGGGTTCAAGAGATTCTCCTGCCTCAACCTACAGAGGAGCCGGGATTACAGGCATGCACCACCATGCCCGGCTAATTTTTGTACTTTTAGTAGAGATAGGGTTTTGCCATGTTGGCCAGGCTGATCTCAAACTCCTGACCTCAGGTGATCCACCCACCTCAGCCTCCCAAACTGCTGAGAATACAGGTGTGAGCTGCCATACCCAGCCACAGGTTATTTTTGCTGATCTTCTCCCTCCTCCCACCCTCCACCCTCAAAGAAAATGCGGTACATCTACACCATGGACTACTACGCAACCCTGAAAAGGAACAAAATCATGGTTTTTTTTTTTGTTTTTTTTTTTTTTTTTGCAGCAACATGGATGTAGCTGGAGGCCATTATTTTTTTTAATTATTTTTATTATTATTTTTTCTATTCTACTTTAAGTTCTGGGGTATATGTGCAGAATGTGCAGGATTGTTACATAGATATACATGTGCCATAGCGGTTTGCTGCACCCATCAACCCATCATCTACATTAGATATTTCTCATAATGCTGTCCCTCCCCCAGTCCCCCACCCCTGCAATAGGCCCCAGTGTGTGATGTTCCCCTCTCTGGGTCGATGTGTTCTCATTGTTCACTTCCCACTTATGAGTGAGAACATGCACTGTTTGGTTTTCTGCTCCTGTGTCACTTTGCTGAACATGAGGGTTTCCAGCTTCATCCATGTCCCTGCAAAGGACATGAACTCATCTTTTTCATGGCTGCATAGTATTCCACAGTGTCTATGTGCTACATTTTCTTTATCCAGTCTATCACTGATGAGCATTTGGGTTGGTTCCACATCTTTGCTATTGTGAACAGTGTGGAGGCCATTATCTTAAGTAAATTAACAGAATGCTGCGTGTTCTCACTTATAAGTGGGAGCTAAATGTTGCATATATGTAGACACAGAGAAGGGAACAGATATTGGGGTCTAGTTAGGGGGAGAGAGGAAGGTAGAAGGACAAGAGTTGAAAAAACCAACTGTGAGGTATTATGCTCACTACCTGGGTGATGGGATCACTCATACCCCAGACCTCAGCATCACACATTGTACCCATGTAAGAAACCTGTACATGTACCTCCCGAATCCAAACTGCTCCACCATTTGCACCAGCAATTCCAAGACTGGGCATCTACCCAAAGGAAAAGAAGTCATTCTACCAAAAAGACACATGCATGGTAAAGTTCCTTTTTTGTTTGTTTTTTGAGATGGAGTCTCGCTCTATTTCCCATGCTGGAGTGCAGTAGCAATCTCGGCTCACTGCAACCTCTGTCTCCAGGGTTCAAGTGATTCTCCTGCCTCAGCCTCCTGAGCAGCTGGGATTACAGGCATGCACCACCATGCCTGGCTAATTTTTGTATTTTTAGTAGAGACAGGGTTTCACCATATTGACCAGGCTGGTCTCGAACTCCTGACCTCAGGTGATCTGCCCACCTTGGCCCTCCAGAGTGCTGGGATTACAGTGCCTGGCCCTGTAAGGTTCATCACAGCACGACTTACAATAGGAAAGTCATGGAATCAACCTAGTTGCCCATCAGTGGGGTACCGGATAAAGCAAAAGTGGTTCTTCTACAGCATCGAATACTACACAGCCATGAAAAAGAATAAAATCATGTCCTTTGCAGCCACATGGATGTAGCTGGAGGACATTATGCTTAATGAATTAACACAAGAACAGAAAATCAAATACCACATGTTCTTGACTGGATAAAGCAATTGTGGCCCTTCTACACCATGGAATACTGCACTGCCATGAAAAAGAATAAAATCATGTTTTTGCAGCCACATGGACACAGCTGAAGGGAATTATGCTTAGTGAATTAACGCCAGGAAAAGAAAATGGAATACCACATGTTCTCCACTAGATAAAGCAAATGTGGTCTTTCTGCGTCATGGAATACTACACAGCCATGAAAAAGAATAATGTCATGTCCTTTGCAGCCACATGGACACAGCTGAAGGACATTATGCTTAGTGAATTAATGCCAGGAACAGAAAATGAAATACTACATGTTCTCAACTGGATAAAGCAAATGTGGCCCTTCTACACCACGGAATACTACACAGTGATGAAAAAAATAAAATCATGTCTTTGCAGCCACATGGATGCAGCCAGAGGGCATTATGCTTAGTGAATCAATATGAGGAACAGAAAATCAAATACCACATGTTCTGCACTAGATAAAGCAAATGTGGTCCTTCTGCATCATGGAATACTACACAGCCATGAACAAGAATAAAATCATGCCCTTTGCAGCAACGTGGATGAAGCTGAAGGGAATTATGCTTAGTGAATTAATGCCAGAAACAGAAAATCAAATACCACATGTGCTCAATTAGATAAAGTAAATGTGATCCTTCCGCATCATGGAATACTACACAGCCATGAACAAGAATAAAATCATGCCCTTTGCAGTCACATGGATGAAGCTGAAGGGCACTATGCTTAGTGAATTAACGCCAGGAACAGAAAATAAAATACCACATGTTTTTGCTTATAGGTGGGAGCTAAACATTGCCTGCACCTGGACACAATGAAGGAGCACCACAGACCCTCAGGACTAATAGAGTAGGAAGCAGGGGCGGGGGTACAAGAGTTGAAAAACTACCCTGAGATTCTTTGAATTTCAGGCAGAAGGCAGCAACTGGAGAGATCTTTGGGTCACGGATTTTTCTGTTGCATTTTCTTGCTTGTTTGTTTTCTCTCTCTCTCTCTCTCTCTTTTTTTTTTTTTGAGATGGAGTCTCACTCTGTGACCCAGGCTGGAGTGCAGTGGTGCAATCTTGGCTCCCTGCAACTTCTGCCTCCTGGATTCAAGCAATTCTTCTACTTCAGCCTCCCAAGTAGCTGGGACTACAGGCACCTGCCACCACACCTGGCTAATTTTTGTATTTTTAGCAGAGACGGGGTTTCACCATGTTGGCCAGGCTGGTCTCAAACTCCTGACCTCAGGTAATCTGCCTGCCTTGGCCTCCCAAAGTGCTGGGATTACAGGCATGAGCCACTGCGCCTGGCCCTCTTCTTATATATTTCTAGAACTCCTCTCGAATTTGGGGTTTGTTTTTCTTAATTACAAGGAATCAAGTTGAATCATTAGTGCATATATAAATATACATTTTATTTTTAGTACACATTATATACCTCAGGAATGTACAATGCTCAGTGCCTGGGTGACGGGATTATTCATACCCCAAACCTCAGCATTGTACAATATCCCCAGGACACAAAGCTGCCCATGGATCCCCTGAATCTATAATAATAATAATAATAATAATAATAATAATAATAATAAAAAGTGACTTTGTCATTCGCAGGGAAATGTGAATGACATTCACTCTGCCTCTCAGGCCCTTGGATTCCCAAAGTTTGTTTTCATCACGCCCAGGGGACACTCAGAATCTCGTTTGCAGAACACGGGTTGTTTTTCTTAGAAACGCCTTGCAAAACAAAATAGGAAGCAAAATCTTTCTCACTCCTTCCACTCCATAATAGACAAAATAAAATGAGGGGGCAGGAATCCAGAGACTTTGACCACAGTTGGCAGATTTATTGTGGTACAGACATGAAGGCAAGCAGTGTTCTCTCTGATTCTACGAACCGTACAGCCCGGGCCAGCTGCCTTCTGCTTTCTGGATGGTGCAGGCGTGAGCTCCAAGCCCAAATTTCACTGGAGCTCCAAGAATCGAGCCTGGCCCAGGCACTCACTGCACGGGGGCCAAGCGTGAAGCCAGTGATCACTCCAGCAAGGTAACAGGACAGCTTGGTGATCCTTCTTGCCGGCCACAAAAGGTTATAGCCAGAATTCCACCGAATGTGGTCTTTCTGTGTCCCTCCCCAGACAGTGAAGCTGCACAAACCTGGGGGTGGGGGGTGGGGGGTGCTGACCTCAGTGGGGTGTCCTGAAGAGGCAGGAACCAGGGTTTACAGGGTGCAGATCCTACTGAAGCAAATGGACGTGGCATCCGCGGGCAGAGCTGGCTGTGGTGTCCCCCCTCTGCCTACGGTGTCACCAAATGTACCCAGAGACCGCTTGTAAACCTGGAGGGTGTGCTAACATCAGTGGGGTGTCCTGGAGAGGCAGGAACCTGGGTATCCACGGTGCAGATCCGACTGAAGCAAATGGACGTGGCATCCGCGGGCAGAGCTGGCTGTGGCATCCCCCCTTCTGCCTGGGGTGTCACCACATTTCACTGAGAGACCCCTTCTAAACCTGGGGAGAGTGCTGACCTCAGTGGGGTGTCCTGGAGAAGCAGGAACCAGGGTTTACAGGATGCAGATCCTACTGAAGCAAATGGACGTGGCATCCGCGGGCAGAGCTGGCTGTGGCTGGCCTTCCAGCCTGGATGTCTCCCCCCCACCTGGGGTGTCACCAGATGCACCCAGAGACCCCTTCTAAACCTGGGGGGATGTGCTGACCTCAGTGGGGTTTCCTGGAGAGGCAGGAAGCTGGGTTTCCAGGGTACATATCCTACTGAAGCAAATGGACGTGGCATCCTTGAGCAGAGCTGGCTGTGTCTGGCCTTCCAGCCTGGACGTCTCCCCCACTGCCTGGGGTGTCACCAAATGCACCCAGAGACCTCTCTTCTGAAAGCCCATTCATGGGAAGCCTCCAGGTCTCCTCAGCAGGCAGCATCACGTCTGATTTAACTGCGTTATCAGGTAATGCAGGCCTGTTCTACCTGTGTGCGTGAGCGCATGTGTGCCGTGTGGGAGTGTGTGTGTTGATGTGGGTGTGGGTGTGTGCTTGTGTGGCTGTGTGTGTGTGTGCCTGTTTATGTGATGATGAGTGTGTCTGTGAGTCTGTAAGACAATGTGTGTTTCCATGCGTGTTTCTGTGTGAGCGTGCATTCCTGTGTTTTATGGAAGTGTGTTTTTGTGATGGTGTTTTTGTGTGCCCCTGCGTTTATCGTATTTGTCTGTTTGTGAATATGAGTGTATGTGTGTGAATCTGTATGGCAATGTATAAATTCTTTTTTTTTTTTTTGAGATGGAGTCTCGCTCTGTCACCCATACTGGAGTGCAAAGGTACAATCTCAGCTCACAGCAACCTCCGCCTCCCGGGTTCAAGCAATTCTTCTGCCTCAGCCTCCTGAGTACCTGGGATTACAGGCACCCACCGCCACATCTGGCTAATTTTTCTTTTTTGATACGGAGTCTCGTTCTGTCGCCCAGGCTGGAGTGCAGTGGCATGATCTTGGCTCACTGCAACCTCTGCCTCCCGGGTTCAAATGATTCTCCTGCCTTAGCCTCCTGAGTAGCTGGGATTACAGGCATAAGCCACTACATCTGGCTAATTTTTGTATTTTTGAGTAGAGACGGGGTTTCACCATGTTGGCCAGGCTGGTCTGGAACTCCCGACCTCAAGTTATCTGCCCGCCTCGGCCTCCCAAAGTTCTGGGAGTACAGGCGTGAGCCACCTTGCCCGGCCCCAGTGTGTGAATTTTTATGTTTGTGTGTCCACATGATTATGTGAGTCTTTTTGTGACTGTGTTTCCATGAGTGTGTGACTGTATTTATGTGTTTGTGTGTGCTTGTGTGATTCTGAGTGTGCGTATGAGTGTGTATGACATATATGAGTGTCTATGTGGGTGAGTAGCCATCCACGTGTTTATATGAGAGTGTTTGCATGTTTCTGTTTATGAGTGACTTTGTATGTATACGTGTTTGTGTGCTTTGTGAGAATGTCAATGTGCATGTGCACCCACGTGTGCAAAAAACCCACACATTTTTGTAATTGTGTTTGTGTGTCCCTGAATTTGTGTGAGTGTGCATGTCTTCGTGTGTCCATGTGTTTCTATGAGTGTGTTTTGTGATTCTGTCTTTGTGTTGATGTGTGTTTGTGTAAGTGTGTGGTTGCATTTGTGTCAGTGATTCTGGAGCAGGTGAGCTGATCACAAGTCTGAGCCGAGAATCCATGGAGCTCATTTACAACAGAAGCCGGGACCCTGTGCAAATCCTTCTGAAATATCCCCGGTTTACAGAGCTCCTAGGGGTGGGGAAGAAAAATTCCCTGACTTTTCGGCCTCAGGGAAAGAGAGAGATACCCCGCTGGCCATACGCCTCTGCTGTTTCTCAGAAAACAGGTGGGGTATCACTCTTTCCCAAATGACGGTGATTTTAAGAACGGTTCACCTTTTGAAGAGATGTTTCTGCCCTGGCGATCCATACATATTGAACCCAAATGAATATTTTTTAATTAAAAATTTTTATATAAATATACATTGTGCATACTTTATATTAATATATTGATATAAATAAATATATTTTATTAATATAAACATGATTTTTATAGTTCATATAAATAAAGTTATATATAGTGTATATGTAAAATATACTTTTATTTGTGATACATAATTTTATAGATTAAATTTTATATACTAAGCAAAGTTATATGTGATATATACATGCCATATAACATCATTTATATAATATATCTTTATGTAAATAAGTATATAATAAAATTGATCTTATTATATTTGTTAATACGTAATTATGTATATATACTATGTAAAAATAAAATTATATATTGTATGTGCATAATTATATTTCTATAAATACACGCTTATGTGTGTATTTATACATGAATGCCTGTGTTTGTGTGAGTACATCAGTGAGTGCGTGAATGTGTGTGTGTGCATGTGTGCCTGTGTTTGTGTGAGTGTAAGAGTGTTGTACATTTATACACACACATTTTGTTTTCTGGTTAATAACAAGATCTATCTTTGATTTAGGATATGAAGAATTCTTATAAGCAACCCCCCCACACAAAATTTGTATTTATTTTAAAATATTCTTAAAATATGGGTTATTTTATTTTTGCACAAACAGACAAGAGTGTTTTTTCTTTCCAAAACTTTTATTTCAAATTCTGACCCTGAGGAGCAGAAAAAGAAGAAAACATTGTGTAACCTTATATACATTAGAAACATAAGTAGTTACTAAATGCAATACAAATTTTGACAACATGCATTTAGGAAAAATGAGGAATTCATACTCGTAGCTGCCTCAATATTGAACTTTCTAAAGTTTAATTTTTTTTTATTAAAAAATATTCATTTGGGTTCAATATGTATGGATCTCCAGGGCAGAAATGTCTCTCCAAAAAGTGAACCACTCTGAAAATCACCGTCATTTGGGAAAGGGTGATGCCCCAGCTGTCTTCTGAAAAATAGCAGAGGCTTCCGGCCAGTGGGGTGTCTCTCTCTTTCCCTGAGGCCGAAATGTCAGGGAATTTTTCTTCCCCACCCCTAGGAGCCCAGTAAATGGAGAATATTTCAGAAGGATTTGCACAGGGTCCTGGCTTCTGCTATTTATGAGCTCCATGGATTCTTGGCTCAGGCTTGTGATCAGCTCACCTGCTCCAGAATCACTTCCCATCTTAGCTTCTGGGCTAAGACACCTCAAAACCAGCAAAGGAAAGTCCTCACTGGTCAACGCGTCCATCCCAACTCCCCCATCTCCCTTTAGGGTGGGTTTGGGGTTCGGGACTGCTTTACTGTTCCTTTCAAAGCAGACTGGGAGGTAAGATTTTATTCTGCTTCCAGAGGTTCAGGATTTCTGCAGACGGTCAGCAACTCTTTGCATCCTACTGGTAAAAGTTTTATATACTTTGTATTTATATAAATATGCATTGTGTATATTTTATATGAATAGATTGATACAAATTATTTTATTAACTTAACCATATGACTTTTATATTTTTATATAAATAAAGTTATATGTAGTGTATATGTAAAATACTTCTATTTCTAATACATAATTTTATAGATTAAATTTAATATATTAAGCAAAAATATATGTAACATATATAACATATAACATCATTTATATAATATATAACTTAATGTAAATAAGTATATAAAATTGATATTATTATATTTGTTAATACATAATTATGCATATATACTGTGTAAAAATAAAATTACATATTGCATATGCATCATTATATTTCTATAAATACAATTATATACTATATATAATTATGTATAATTGTATAATAAAATTATATAATAAATTTTGAAACGTTATAAATTATTATACATAGTATTTTATTGTATTAAATTTAGAAATGTGTTATATGTAATAAAATTTTATTATAATAAATGTAGATTATATAAAATTTTATTTATAATAAATTACCTTATGTATAATTATAATATGAGAAAATAATTATATATCATTGTATTATAATAAATTTAGAAATGTTATACATTATTATATATAAAATTTCATTATATTAAATTTAGAAATATATGTAATAAAATGGTATTATATTAAAATTTTTATGTAACATTTTATTATACATGTATAATTTTATATAATCTTTTATAATATATAGAATATAAGTACAAAAATATTTATATACAGCTACACGTAATATAAATACATCAGTGTAAGCTGTTTTGTGTGTGTGAGATGAAGTCTCGCTCTGTTGCCCAGGCTGGAGTGCAGCAACACGATCTCGGCTCACTGCAACCTCTGCCTCCTGGGTTCAAGCGATTCTCCTGCCTCAGCCTCCCGAGTAGCTGGGATTACAGGCATGCACCACCACACCCAATCAATTTTTGTATTTTTAGTAGAGATGGGGTTTCACTGTGTTAGCCAGGATGGTCTCAAATTCCTGACCTCAGGTGATCCACCCGCCTCGGCCTCCCAAAATGCTGGGATTACAGGCATGAGCCACAGTGTAAAATACTAGCTATTAAAAAATAAATATATATATATACTGCAACAGCTGATTTGTCTGGAAGAGTTTGGTCAGAAGACAGTGTATTAAGAAGACTGTGAGTCTCCAGAGGAATATAAGAATATACATCATGTTGATATATTATATATAACATAAATAGCTAACTACATCTGTGTATATAGTATAAACAAAAGTACAAAAATATTTGTATATAACTATATGTAATATAAATATATCAGTGTAAGATATTAGCTATTAAAAAATATATATATATATAGAGAGAGAGAGAGAGAGAGCAACCGGTGATTTGTCTGGAATATTCTAGTCAGAAGACAGTGTATTAAGAAGACAGTGAGTCCCCAGGAGAATACAAGAATGTGCATCATGTTAATATATTATATATAATATAAATACCTCACGACATCTGTATGTATAGTATAAACATAAAGTACAAAAATATTAGTATATTACTATATGTAATATAAATATATCAGTGTAAGATATTAGCTATTAAAATATACATATGTGTGTATGTATGTGTATATGTGTATATAAATATTATATATATATATAGTAACTGCTGATTTGTGTGGAAGACTTTGGTCAGAAGACAGTGTATTAAGAAGACAGTGGGTCCTCACAGGAAAATAAGAATATACATCATGTTTATATTATATATAACATAAACAACTAATTACATCTGTATATAGAGCACAAACATAAAGTACAAAAATATTTGTATATAATCATATGTAATATAAATATACCAGTGTAAGATATTAGCTATTAAAGTATACATGTGTGTATGTATGTGTATATGTGTACATATAATATATATACATATATAACATATATAATATATAAGATATAGCATAATGTAATATATTATATATAATATGTAATGTGTAACATATATTATATAATTAATATATAATATATAATATATTCTATAATTAATATATAATATATAATATATTCTATGCAATAAAATATATAGCATATATATATATATAGCAACAGCTGATTTGTCTGGAAGAATTTGGTCAGAAGACAGTGTATTAAGAAGACAGTGAGTCCCCAGAGAAATATAAGAATATACATCATGTTTATATTATATATAACATAAATAACTACATCTGTATATATAGCATAAACATAAAGCACAAAATTATTTATATATAATATAAATATATCAGTGTAAGATATTAGCTATTAAAAAATATATATATATAGCAACCGGTGATTTGTCTGGAAGACTGGTCAGAAGACAGTGTATTAGGAAGACAGGCAGTCTCCGCAGGAAGCATGGTGCAGGTGGGATCTGGAGGTGACTCTGGGCTGCCAGAAGACGCCCCACTGCTTTGCGGCAGACACAGGTGGAGAGGTCCTCTCTGTAGCTTCAGCGTGGACACTGTGTGTGTCTTGCTGTGGGAACACTTCTTTCTGCTTCCCTCTCCACTGTGACCCCATCACACTCACTGACCTGCCCTCCTCCTTCCTCTCGCTCTCCGGGGCCCCTGTGGAAAGAGGGTCTTCCCTCCGTGCAGCAGGAACCCCCAGGACCATCCCCATGCTCCTGGGTTCTGAACTTCAGGGACATATGATCCTACCTGACCGGGCACAGGCTCTGTTCACCCTCAGGAACCCCTGTCCTCCCAGGCCACCGTGGACTGGAGAACTGGCCTCCTGAAAATCCAGAGAGAACTTAGCACTCACAACTTCTTTCTTTTTTTCTTTTTTCTTTGAGACGGGATCTTGCTCTTTTCCCCAGGCTGGAGTGCAATGGCATGATCTCAGCTCACTGCAACCTCCTCCTCCCAGGTTCAAGCAGTTCATCCTGCCTCTGTCTCCCGAGTATCTGGGATCACAGTCATCCACCCCCGCGGCCAACTAATTTCTGTATTTTTAGTAGAGACGGGGTTTCACCATGTTGGCCAGGCTGGTCTCGAACTCTTGACCTCAAGTGATCCACCTGCCTCGGCCTCCCAAAGTACTGGGATGACATATATTAGCATGATGTATATTCTTCTATTCCTCCGGGGACTCACTGTCTTCTTGGGCAGTAAACCACTGTGCCCGGACTTCTCTGTCCACATCTGCACACCTCTAAAACTCTGTAGATTCTGAATTGTTTTTCCTTTTGCACAGAATGAGAGGAACTGAAGTCGGGAGGCCCAGCCCCAACACGGTCCCTGTGGCTCTGTGCTCAGGCGGTTTACGGCTGAGAAGGACTTGGGGGGTTGAGGGCTTCCTATCAGCCCAGGAGACATTACCCGGGTCTGGGAAGCCTGCTCTGCATTTGTGGGTCTCGAATTGTCTGTTGCATTTACCTGCCTCATTATTTTTTCTTCCTGTCTCTCTTCTTACATATTTCTTTCGAATTTGGAGCTTGTTTTTCTTAACTACAATCAACTTGAATCATTACTGCATATATAAATATAAATTTTATATTGAGTAGACATTATATACTCAATCTACTACACATTCCAACACGGGCCATATCTAAGACGAATATTTATATTTAATGTTTAAAATATGTTTACATTTCATACAGAAAAATATATTTATATTTAATATATATGTGTATATTTAATACAGGAAATATATATTTATATTTAACATATAAAAATATATGTTTATATTTAATATGGGAAATATATGTTTATGTTTAATATACATAATACATGTTGATGTTTAATATAGAAAATGTATAGTTATATTTACTATGCAAAATACATGTTTATATTTAATATAGAAAATATGTTTATATTTAATGTACAGGATACATATTTATATTTAATATAGAAAATACATATTTATATTTAACATATACAGTATTTATATTTAATGTATAAAATATGTTTACATTTAATGTGCTGAATATATGCTTATATTTAATGTCTAAAATGTCTATATTTAATGTATTGTATACATTAAATGTACCAAATGTATTCTTATATTTAATGTATAAAAGATGTTTATATTTAACATATAAGATATGTTTACATTTAATGTATAAAATGTTTATGTTTGATGTATAAAAGATGTTTATATTTAACGTATACAATTTATATTTAATGTACCAAATATATTATTATATTTAATGTCCAAGCCAGCCAAGCCAGTCAGCCAAGCCGGCTAAGCCACCCACCCAGCCAAGCCAGCCAAGTGAGCCAGCTAGCCAGCCAGCCAAGCCAGCCAAACCAGCCAAGCCAGTCAGCCAGCCAAGCCAGCCAAGCCAGACAGCCAGGAAAGCCAGCCAAGCCAGCCAAGCCACCCAAGCCAGCCAAGCCTCCAGCCAGCCAAGCCAGCCAAGCCAGCCAGCCAGGCAAGCCAGCCAAGCCAGCCAAGCCAGCCAGCAAGCAAAGCCAGGCATGCCAGCCAAACCAGCCAGGCAGCCAAGCCAGCCAGCCAAGACAGCCAAGCCAGCCAACCAGCCAAGCCAGTCAGCTAGCCAAGCCAGCCAACCAGCCAGCCAGCCAAGCCGGCCGGCCTGCCAGCCAACCAAGCCGGCCAGACAGCCAAGGCAGCCAAGCCGGCCAGGCAGCCAAGCCAGCCAAGCCTCCCAGCCAGCCAAGCCAGCCAAGCCACCCAGCCAGCCAAGCCAGCCAAGCCACAGAGCCAGCCAGGCCAGCCAAGCCACCCAGCCAGAAAGGCCCGCCAGCCAGCCAGCAAGCGAGCCAAGCCAGCCAAGCCTGCCAGCCAGCCAAGCCAGCCAAGACAGACAGCCAGCCAAGCCAGCCAAGCCTGATAGCCATCCAAGGCAGCCAAGCCAGCCAACCAGCCAAGCCAGCCAGCCAGCCAAGCCAGCCAAGCCAGCCAGCCTGCCAAGCCATCCAGGCAACCCAGCCAGCCAAGACAGCCAAGCCTGCCAAACCAGCCTGCCAGCCAAGCCAGCCAAGCCAGCCAGCCTGCCAAGCCATCCAGGCAACCCAGCCAGCCAAGACAGCCAAGCCAGCCAAGCCAGCCAGCCTGCCAAGCCATCCAGGCAACCCAGCCAGCCAAGACAGCCAAGCCAGCTGGCCAGCCAAGCTAGCCAATCCACTCAGCCACTCAAGCCAGCCAAGTCACCTGTCCAGCCAAGCCAGCCAAGCCAGCCAGCCAGCCCAGACAGCCAAGCCAGCCAAGCCAGCCAAGCCACCCAGCCAAGCCGCCCAGCCAGCCAAGCCAGCCAAGCCGCCCAGCTAGCCAGGCCAGCCACCCAGCCAGTGAGCCAAGCCAGCCAAGCCAGCCAGGCAGCCAAGCCAGCCAAGCCAACCAAGCCAGCCAGCCAGCCAGCCAAGCCAGCCAAGCCGCCCAGCTAGCCAGGCCAGCCACCCAGCCAGTGAGCCAAGCCAGCCAAGCCAGCCAGGCAGCCAAGCCAGCCAAGCCAACCAAGCCAGCCAGCCAGCCAGCCAAGCCAGGCATGCCAGCCAAGCCGGCCAAGCCAGGCCTGGCAGCCAAGCCAGCCAGGCAGCCAAGCCAGCCAGGCAACCAAGCCAGCCAAGCCACCCAGCCAGCCAAGCCAGCCAAGCCAGCCAGCAGGCCAGCCAGGCAGCCAAGCCAGCCAGCCACCCAGCCAGCCAGGCCAGCCAGCCACCCAGCCAGCCAAGCCAGCCAGCCACACAGCAAGCCAGGCCAGCCAAGCCACCCAGCCAGCCAAGCCAGCCAGCCACCCAGCCAGCCAGGCCGGTCAGCCACCCAGCCAGCCAAGCCATGCAAGCCAGCCAGCCAGCCCAGACAGCCAAGCCAGCCAGCCAGCCAAGCCAGCCAAGCAAGCCAGCCAGCCAGGCCAGCCTGCCACCCAGCCAGCCAAGCCAGACAAGCCAGCCAAGCCAGCTAGCCACCCAGCCAGCCGGCCCAGCCAGCCACCCAGCCAGCCCAGACAGCCAAGCCAGCCAAGCAAGCCAGCAAGCCAAGCCAGCCAAGCCAGCCAGCCAAACCATCCAGGCAACCCAGCCAGCCAAGCCACCCAAGCCAGCCGGCCAGCCAGTCAGCCAAGCCAGCCAACTAGCCAAGCCAGCCAAGGCAGCCACCAGCCAAGCCAGCCAAGCCAGCCAAGCCAGCCAGCCAGACCAGACAGCCAAGCCAGCCAAGCCACCCAGCCAGCCAAGCCAGCCAAGATACCTAGCCAGCCAGGCGTGCCAGCCAGCCAGCCAGCGAGCCAAGCCAGCCAAGCCAGCCAGGCAGCCAAGCCAGCCAAGCCAGTCAAGCCCGCCAGCCAGCCAAGACAGGCATGCCAGCCAAGCCAGCCAGGCAGCCAAGCCAGCCAAGCCAGCCAGGCCCTCCAGCCAGCCAAGACAGGCATGCCAGCCAAGCCAGCCAGGCAGCCAAGCCAGCCAAGCCAGCCAGGCCCGCCAGCCAGCCAAGACAGGGATACCAGCCAAGCCAGCCAGGCAGCCAAGCCAGCCAAGCCAGCCAGCAAGCAAAGCCAGGCATGCCAGCCAAGCCAGCCAGGCAGCCAAGCCAGCAAAACCAGCCAGTCAGCCAAGCCAGGCATGCCAGCCAAGCCATCCAGTCAGCGAAGCCAGCCGGCTAGCCAAGCCAGCCAAGCCACCCGGCCAGCCAAGCCAGCCAGCCAAGCCAGCCAAGCCAGCCAACCAGCCAAGCCAGTCAGCTAGCCAAGCCACCCAGCCAGCCAGCCAGCCAAACCAGCCAAGCCACCCAGCCAGCCAGGCAGCCAGCCACCCAAGCCAGCCAAGCCACCCAAGCCAGCCAAGCCTCCCAGCCAGCCAAGCCAGCCAAGACACCTAGCCAGCCAGGCCTGCCAGCCAGCCAGCCAGCGAGCCAAGCCAGCCAAGCCAGCCAGGCAGCCAAGCCAGCCAAGCCAGTCAAGCCCGCCAGCCAGCCAAGACAGGCATGCCAGCCAAGCCAGCCAGGCAGCCAAGCCAGCCAAGCCAGCCAGGCCCGCCAGCCAGCTAAGACAGGCATGCCAGCCAAGCCAGCCAGGCAGCCAAGCCAGCCAAGCCAGCCAGCAAGCAAAGCCAGTCATGCCAGCCAAGCCAGCCAGGCAGCCAAGCCAGCCAAGCCACCCAGCCAGCCAAGGTAGCCAAGCCAGCCAAGCCATCCATCCTGCCAAGCCAGCCGGCCAGGGAAGCTAGCCAATCCACTCGGCCAGCCAAGCCGGCCAAGCCACACGGCCAGCCAAGCCAGCCCAGCCACCTGGGCAGCCAAACCAGCCAAGCCACCTGGCCAGCCAGCCAGCCAAGCCAGCCAAGCCTGCCAGCCATCCAAGCCAGCCAAGACAGACAGACAGCCAGCAAAGCCAGCCAAGGCTGATAGCCACCCAAGCCAGCCAAGCCGACCAACCAGCCAAGCCAGCCGGCCAAGCCAGCCAAGCCACTCAGCCACCCAGCCAGCCAGGCCAGCCAGCAACCCAGCCAACCCAGACAGCCAAGTCAGCCAGCCAACCAAAGCAGCCAAGCCAGCCAACCAACCAAGAGAGCCAGCGAGCCAAGACAGCCAAGCCACCAGCTAGCCAAGCCACCCAGCCAGCCAGCCAGCCAAGCCAGCAAAGCCTCCCAGCCAGCCAAGCCAGCCAAGCCACACAGCCAGCCAAGCCACCCAAACCACCCAGCCAGCCAGGCCCACCAGCCAGCCAGCCAGCGAGCCAACCCAGCTAAGCCAGCCAGGCAGCCAAGCCAGCCAAGCCAGCCAAGACCTCCAGCCAGCCAAGACAGGCATGCCAGCCAAGCCAGCCAGGCAGCCAAGTCAGCCAGCAAGCAAAGCCAGGCATGCCAGCAAAGCCAGCCATGCCAGCCAAGCCAGCCAGGCAGCCAAGCCAGCCAAGCCAGCCAGCCAGCCAAGCCAGGCATGCCAGCCAAGCCATCCAGCCAGCTAAGCCAGCCGGCTAGCCAAGCCAGCCAAGCCACCCGGCCAGCCAAGCCAGCCAGCCAAGCCAGCCAAGCCAGCCAACCAGTCAAGCCAGTCAGCTAGCCAAGCCAGCCAAGCCACCCGGCCAGCCAAGCCAGCCAGCCAAACCAGCCAAGCCAGCCAACTAGCCAAGCCAGCCAAGCCAGCCAAGCCGGCCCAGCCAGCCAGCCAGCCAGCCGAGCCGGCCAAGCCAGACAGCGAGCCCAGCCAGCCCAGCCAGTCAGCCAGCCAAACCAGCCACCCAGCCAAGCCAGCCAGCCACCCAGCCAAGCCAGCCAAGAGACCCAAGCCAGCCAGCAAAGCTGGCCAAACCAGCCAAGCCAGTCAGCCAAGCCAGCCAAGCCAGCCACCCAGCCAAGCCAGCCAAGCCAGCCAACCAGCCAGACAGCCAACCCAGGAAACCAAGAGACCCAAGCCAGCCAGCGAAGCTGGCCAACCCAGCCAAGCCAGTCAGCCAAGCCAGCCAAGCCGGCCACCCAGCCAAGCCAGCCAAGCCAGCCAACCAGCCAGACAGCCCAGCCAGACAGCCAGCCCAGGCAGCAAAACCAGGCAAGCCAGCCAGCCAAGCCAGCCAAGCCAGCCAGCCAGCCAAGACAGCCAAGCCAGCCAAGCCAGGCAAGCCAGCGAGCCAGCCAAGCCAGCCAACCCAGCCAGCCAAGCCAGCTAAGACAGCCAGCCAGCCAAGCCGGCCAAGCCAGCCAGCCAAGCAAGCCATGCAAGCCAGCCAGCCAGCCAAGCCAGTCAAGCCAGCCAGCCAGCCAAACCAGCCAAGCCACCCAAGCCAGTCAGCCAAGCCAGCCAAGCCAGCCAAGCCAGTCAGCCAGAAAAGCCAGCCAAGCCTGCCAGCCAGTCAAGCCAGCCAAGCCAGCCAGCCAGCCAAGCCAGCGAAGACACCCAGCCAGCCAAGCAAGCCAAGCCACCCAGCCAGACAAGCCTGCCAAGAGACCCAGCAACCCAAGCCAGCCAAGACACCCAGCCAGCCAAGCTAGCCAAGACACCCAGCCAGCGAAGCCAGCCAGCCAGCCAGCCAGCCAAGCCTGCCAAGCCACCCAGCCAGCCAAGCCAGCCAAACCACCCAGCCAGCCAAGCCGGTCAAGCCACCCAGCCAGCCAAGCTGGCCAAGACACTCAGCCAGCCAAGCCAGCCAGCCAGCCAAGCCGGCCAAGCCACTCAGCCAGCCAAGATGGCCAAGCCACCCAGTCAAGCCAGCGAAGCCAGTCAGCCAGCCAAGCCAGCCAAAACAGCCAGCCAGCCACGCCAGCCACCCAAGCCAGCCAGCCAAGCCTGCCAGCCAGCCAAGCCAGCCAAGCCAGCCAAGCAGCCAAGCCAGCCAGCCAGCGAAGCCAGCCAAGACAGCCAGCACACTCACACACACACACTCACACGTACACACACTCACCACCCCATGCCAAGAAGATACACAGAAAACTCACTCACCTTTCACTTGAGTTTGCAAATTTGGAGCTGACTTAATGAAGGAAAAAAAAATTACAGCTACAAAGTAACACAGAGCCAATGAAAAGACAAAAACCACCATTAGATTTTCTTCTTTTCTAAAGTTTTATTTTATTTTTAAGAGTCATCGTTCGGATCAGGCGCAGTGGCTCACGCTTGTAATCCCAGCGCTTTGGGAGGCTGAGGTGGGAGAATCACAAGGCCAGAAGTTCAAGACCAGTCTGGGCAACATAGCAAGATCTCATCTCTTAAAAAAAAGTACAAAAGTTAGCTGGACCTACTGGTGCAGACCTGTATTTCCAGCTACTGGGGAGGCTGAGGTGGAAGGATGGTTTGAGTCCAGGAGGTTGAGGCTGTACTGAGCCATGATTGCATCACTGCACACTCCAGCTTAGGCAACAGAGCAAGACCTTGTCTCAAGAAAAAAACTCCATAATGATTGTACACATTTATGACATATAATATACTGTTTCCAAGCACGTGTATATCATGTAATGACACCTCATGGTAATTATCAGATCCAGCTGCTCAGAAATCTCATTTTCCAGTGGCTGGGGTATACGCATTTTTTTTTTTTTTTTTTTTGAGACAGAGTTTCGCTCTTGTCACCCAGGCTGGAGTGCAATGGAATGATCTTGGCTCACTGCAAACTCCGCCTCCAGGGTTCAAGCGATTCTCCTGCCTCAGCCTCCCCAGTAGCTGGGATTACAGGCATGTGCCACCACGCCTGGTTCATTTTGTATTTTCAGTAGAGACTGGGTTTCATCGTGCTGGCCAGGCTGGTCTCGAACTCCTGACCTCAAGTGTTCCACCCACCTCAGCCTCCCAAAGTGCTGGGATTACAGGCGTGAGCCACCGAGCCTGGCCAACCCTCTCGTCTTTCAGGGGCTTAAATAAAATTTGCTTTTCTCCCCAAAGGCGGGTCCCCACCCCATTCAGCCCAGTTTCAAAGGGTGGAGTGTAAACGGTGGGTTGCCCAATTCCTGCTGCCATGAAGTACTTCAGCTTACAGCAGAAAGCCAGGCGCAGACACCATGCTTTATTTCTATTTCTACGAACAAGAAGCGTCTCTTGCAGTCTGCAATATTTGTTGTCAAAAATTTCACTGGGTGTTGTATCAAATCAGCCACCTCTATAGAGTGTGATCGTTGACAATTTTTTGTTACATCCCGATGGCCGTTTTACCTGGACCATTTTCTTCCTTTCATGGGTGAAGCAAAACTCCTTGGTAGACTTTTTTTTTGAGACAGAGTCTCGCTCTGTCGCTCTGTTGCCCAGGCTGGAGTGCAGTGGTGCGATGTCGACTCACTGCAACCTCCGCCTCCCCCGGGTTCACACCATTCTCCTGCCTCAGCCTCCCCAGTAGCTCGGACTACAGGCACCCACCCAC
Source organism: Homo sapiens (assembly GCF_000001405.40). Lineage (NCBI taxonomy): Eukaryota > Metazoa > Chordata > Mammalia > Primates > Hominidae > Homo > Homo sapiens. Next base: position 53,224 of record NT_187367.1, on the reverse strand, counting down.
CATGTCCACCTAATTTTTTTGTATTTTTAGTAGAGACAGGGTTTCACCGTTTTAGCCAGGATGGTCTCGTATCCTGACCTCGTGATCCGCCCGCCTCGGCCTCCCAAAGTTCTGGGATTACACGTGTGAGCCACCGCACCAGGCCAATGTGATGATTATCTATGGATATACCCTGATCATCAGCAGGAGGAAATGAAGAGGTATTGGTTAAAAATACAAAGTTGCAGTTACGCAGGATGAATAAGTACTAATTTGTAACAATTCAGTATGAAACAGTGTGACCGTGGTTAACAAGGCTCTGCTCTATGCCTGACATCTGAGAACAGAGGAATTGAAGTCTGAACTTTGTCCAGAAGAGGATGGCTTTGTAGGCTTTGCTGAGCATGCTGAATTCACGGTTTCCGGGTCAGCCCCTGGGCTGCCCAGGGACAGGGTGGAAACCCTGCCCCAGAAAGTCCAGGAGCCAGGAACCTGCTTAGAGACACATTTCAACAAGGAAAACCACACTCAGGCCGGCCTCCTTAAAAACACATAGGCCCGGCGCGGTGGCTCAAGCCTGTAATTCCAGCACTTTGGGAGGCTGAGGCAGGTGGATTGCCTGAGTTGAGGAGTTCGAGGCTGCGGTGAGCTATGATTGCACTCCAGCCTGGGCAACAGAGTGAGACCCTGTCTCAAAGAAATAAACAAATAAATGAATAAGCAAGCAAGCAATTTTTAAGTTGAACATCAGTTCTCTACTTGACTCTAGAGTTAAATAGGCATCCAGTTGCTTTTTGTGTTTATTTTTATATTCACTGCTTTTGCCTGCAACTGTGTTTCTGGTTCTAAGTAAATATAACGTATGCTACTGGTACACATACGTCTTAGGCAACATATATTTCATTCACTGGATTGTTAGCTCTGTTTTGTTTTGTCACTACTTTAGTCCCAGTACCAATAACTGTGCCAGGCACAAAGTAGGTGTTTAGCTAATATTGTTAAATGAAGAAATACAAATATTTGATTTTATCACTTGAATCCTCATTTATTAGTACTGCACTATCTTTTCTTAGCTGTTTTTGTGAACATATGTGTGCTGCTTTTTTACCCTAACTAGATTGGAAGTACATTGTGGGTAGAAACTTGGTTTTATTTGTTTTTCCTATATTCTCCTTTACAGCAGTTTAGACCTGATGGGAAGTAGGTATTTCCCAAACACGTGATTGAACTGAAATACATTGGTAGATTTCATTTTATCAGGAGACTGCCAAAAGTATAGTCATAAATAAGGAATTTGGAAGAGAATCAAAAAGCTAGTATGTACTCATCTGTCAGCTTGAAGGCCTGTATAAGACTCCATACTTCTGTGGAGTAAAAAGGGTAGGGTTCTGGGGCTGGACGCGGTAGCTCACACCTGTAATCCCAACACTTTGGGGAAAAAAAGAGGGTTCTGGGACTATTCTTTGCTTCTTCTTCTTTTTTTTTTTTTTTTGAGACAGTTTTGCTCTGTCATTCAGGCTGGAGTGCAGTGGCATGAATTCGACTCACCACAACCTCTACCTCAGGTTCAAGCAGTTCTCCTGCCTGAGCCTCCTGAGTAGCTGGGATTACAGGTGCTTGCGACCACACCTGGCTAATTTTTTTATATTTTTAGTAGAGATGGGGGTTTTACCATGATGGCCAGGCTGGTTAAGAACTCCTGACCTCAAGTGATCCGCCCGTCTCGGCCTCCCAAAGTGCTAGGATTACAGGCGTGAGCCACTGCACCCGGCCTCTGGGACTGTTCTTTTCCTTGCTCCTTAACAGACTATTTCCTGCTTTTTGTTTTGTTTTGTTTTGCTTTGCTTTGTTTTTTGTTTTTGGCCTTCTAACTGTGTTACAAATGGTTTAAGTCAGTGGTTCTCCAAGGGTGGTCCCAGATCAGCAGCGTTATCACCTGGGTACTTACTAGAAATGCAAATTCTTGGGCCCCACTCCAGACCTACTGAATGAGCAACTCTGAGGGTAGAACCTAAAAAATTGTGTTTTAACAAGTCATCTGGGTGATTCTGATGGTAAAGTTTGATGTCACCAAATGATAATGACGCTTTTTTTTTAAATTGAGATGGAGTCTTGCTCTGTCGCCCAGTCTGGAGTGCAGTGGCGTGATCTTGGTTTACTGCAACTTCCACCTCCCAGGTTCAAGCAATTCTCCTGTCTCAGCCTCCTGAGTAGCTGGGACTACAGGCACACGCCACCATGTCTGGCTAATTTTTGTATTTTTAGTAGAGATGGGGTTTCATCATACTGGTCAGGCTGGTCTCAAACTCCTGACCTCAGGTGATCCACCTGTCTCGGTCTCCCAAAGTGCTGGGATTACAGGCATGAACCACTGTGCCTAGCCTGATAAAGACACTGTCTTTAAGAGAGAGGGCTAGAGGCAGTGATTATGTGCCAGAGAAAACTAGCAGCCTAGATTTAAGAGGATAATATAATCCAAAGCTTTTCAGAGGGAATAGATATAGTTTATAGAAGGCATTAAGACATAAAGCAGATTATTGAAACTTCACTGTACACTGTAACCATATAATTGACTTTTACTTATATATTTCCTCTTTTACTTTGAAGTTTGTGTTCAAATCAAAAGATGAGAACCTTAAATTAATCAAGTTTTATAATATTTTATTTTAGATTTTTGTAAAAGTGAATGCTTTTTATATTCCATAGCAAGTAACTGAAAAGCTACTGAAAAGTGTCCAACCCAAGAATTTTGTGTATTTTTCATTTTGAATATACTTCTCAGTTATTTCAATTTTGAATCCTAGCCCTTTTAAATTTCAGAATACACAGTAGTTTAAAATGGCTTCAATAAGGCTGGGCGCGGTGGCTCGCACCTGTAATCCCAGGGCTTAGGGAGACCGAGGTGGGTGGATCACGAGGTCAGGAGTTTGAGAACAGCCTGACCAACGTGGTAAAACCCTGTCTCTACTAAAAATACAAAAATTAGCTGGGCGTAGTGGTGCGCACCTGTAATCCCAGCTACTCAGGAGGCTGAGGTAGGAGAATTACTTCGACCCCGGGAGGCTGAAGTTGCAGTGAGCCGAAATCTCACCACTGTACTACAGCCTGGGCGACAGAGTGAGACTCCGTCTCAAAAGAAAAAAAAAGGGTGGGGGGGCTTTAATAAATTAAGTGGTACATTTTAAATATTTTAATTGTTTATTAGATATTACGTATGCAGATAAACCTGTTTAAATATAGAAGATTTGTATTCCTATTTCCATATATCCTTTTGACAAATTAGAATTGAAAATAATATAAAAATAAATTTTCAGCTGGGCACGGTGGCTCACATCTGTAATCCCAGCATTTTGGGAGGCCGGGGCGGGCGGATCACGAGATCAGGAGATCGAGACCATGGTAAAACCCCGTCTCTACTAAAAATACAAAAAATTAGCCGGGTGCAGTGGCGGGCGCCTGTAGTCCCAGCTACTCAGGAGGCTGAGGCAAGAGAATGGCGTGAACCCGGGAAGCGGAGCTTGCAGTGAGCTGAGATGGTGCCACTGCACTCCAGCCTGGGCAACAGAGTGAGACTCCATCTCAAAAAAAATAAATATATAAAATAAAAAATTAAATAAAAAAATAAATTTTCTTTCTGTCATGCAGACTTAAATAGTAAAATATCTTCCTTCTATTATTTTTATCTTTTTTGTTTATGTTGGTTAGGAAGTGAATATCTAATTTTCTATACTGTGAAAAATACACAAAGTATCATGGAAGTTCAACATTCATTTTCCTTGAAAATAATTCCAAAGTTTTCTTCTCCAGAAATATATCCTGTTATCATTAAGTTTAGTTGTACTGATAAATGGCAGTTGATGATTTGTAAGTTTTTAAACATATTTATTCATAACACTTATTTTTTTTCTTTTTGAGACGGAGTCTCACTCTGTTGCCCAGGCTGGAGTGCAGTGGTGTGGTCTCGGCTCACTGCAACCTCCACCTCCTGGGTTCAAGCAGTTCTCTGCCTCAGCCTCTCAAGTAGCTGGGATTACAGGCACCTGCCACCACGCCCGGCTAATTTTTTTTTTTGTATTTTTAGTAGAGATGGGGTTTGGCCAGGCTGGTCTTGAACTCCTGACCTCGTGATCCACCCGCCTCGGCCTCCCAAAGTGCTAGGACTACAGGGGCGAGCCACCACGCCCTGCCTTTTTTTTTTTTTTTTAAAGATGGAATCTCACCGTGTCGCCCAGGCTGGAGTGCAGTGGTGCGATCTCTGCACACTGCAACCTCCGTCTCCCGGGTTTGAGTAATTCTTCTGTCTCAGCCTTCCGAGTAGCTGCGAATACAGTGACTGGCTGATTTTTGTATGTTTAGTGGAGACAGGGTTTCACTGTGTTGGCCAGGCTGGTCTCGAACTCCTGACCTCAGGTGATCCCCCCGCCTCAGCCTCCCAAAGTTCTGGGATTACAGGTGTGAGCCCCTGTGTCCGACCTATTTTCCTCTTTTTCTTTTTACTTTTTCCCTTCCCTTTATTTCTTCCTTTCACTGTTTTCATCTTTTATGTCTCTCACCCTCGCCCTTCCTCAGTTCAATTCAAAGAGCAATATACTGCCATATCTGGAGAATTTTTAGCTGGAATTTAATCTTTATTTTAAAAGAGTAAGAATTTATACCAATTATTATGTTTTCGACTGAGGTCGTTTTACAGAAGGAATTCTTTTTTTTATGTAGGAATGTGTTTTAAGACTTTTTGTTTCTAATGTCTTAGTTTTCTAGAGAAAAAAAGGTAAAAGATTGACATTATTCTCATAGTCTTTTACTCTTTTCTCAAAGGTCTTAGTTCAGGTCCTAATTTTCTTTCAATTATACTCATTTATTTAACCAGTCTCCTTTAGGTGGTCATTTGGGTTGTATACATATTCTTGTCTGTGTTTTATCAGTAATGTATTATATAATTTCATGTATGTACAAATAAATATTTGAAGGATAACATTCTAAAATTGCTGAGTTAAAGGGTATATGCATTTATAAACTTGACAGATATTACCAGTTGTCCTCTATAAAGTGAAACTGGTTTATATCACCACAGCTAACATATAAATGTCTGTTTTCTACCATATTATTAAATTACTGAACTTTATCCATCTGATGGAAAAGGAGAAATCTGATTGTACTTTATTTTTTATATTTTTAATATTTTTATGAGACTTCTTGGCATGTTGGCCAGGATGGTCTCAAACTCCAGCCTCAAGCAATCCTCTCACCTCAGTCTCCCAAAGTTCTGGGACTACAGGCATTAGCTACCATGCCTGGCCCTGATTACCACCCCACCCCCCCCCCCCGCCCCCTTTTTTTTTTTTTGAGACAAGGTCTCACTCTGTCACCCATGTTAGAGTGTGGTGGTGTGATCACTGCTCACTGCAGCCTTGGCCTCCTGGGCTGAGGTGATTCTCCTGCCTCAGCCTCCCAAGTAGCTGGGACCACAGACACATGCCACCATGCCTGGCTGATTTTTTTAATTATTTGTAGGGAAGTGGTCTCGCTATGTTGCACAGGCTAGGCTCAAACTCCTGAGCTCAAGTTATCCTCCCACCTCGGCCTCCCAAAGTGCTGTAATTACAGGACTGAGCCACTGTGCCCAGCCTCTGATTATACTTTTAATTGTAATTTCTCTTATGCTTGAAGTTGAACATATACAGTAAAGACTTTACGGTATTGTAGGCTGAAGTTTCAGAATCATCCAGGACCAATGATGTTAGCAGAAATGCAAAACTAGCCAAGGAGTATCGAGAGGACAAAATTGATAATTGATATTGTTATTACCTTCAAAGTTTGATTGCATTGATTAGCTTATTATTTTTATTAAAATCATTTTAAAGAGCATATAAAGTTCTATGCCAAAGCATGTTTGGCCTGACAAGTTGGGCTGTCACTTCCTTTTGACAAGACTTTCATTTTTATCAGCTTTAAATGCATGTGTCATTACTATTCTGGTTAGGTAACATAATTATCCCACTGCAGAATATATAATTTCAAAAGAGTCTTGTGGATATTTGATGCCTTTTCCTCTGAAAACAATTGAATTGTTTTCAGACCACTTTTATTTCAGTAAGATAAATGTAATCTTTCCTTTAATTGTAATGTAGAATTTAAGAGCATATTGAAATGAAAAGAAAAGCTCAACACTACCTATATTTTGAAAGTTATAAGAGACTAGATAAGTTGGATTTTATGTTTCTTGTGGTACCGAATAGAAACAAAGGTCATTCAAACTAAGTTTGAATGAGAATTAAGTTTAATGGCTCACTTGCTAAACCTGAGTTGCACAATCCTCACAATTCCTTAGGGATGTGGCAAGGTCATCCTTAAATGTAAAGTTCTTGCTCACTTAATGGAAAGCACTGTAGATACATAAATAACATTGTTACCTGTCTTAGTGGGTCAGTATAAAAGACGGGGGTGGTGGTATATGTGAGAATAGTGAAATTTATAGCTAGTTTTGAGGCCCTTGTGACTTTTAAGAGGTATTATGAGTCACTTTAACAAGTTAGTGTTTGTGACATAGTTTCAATTTCTTATGTGAAAGATAGTATTTCAGTTGTAAATGTTCTTTTAATATTCTGGAGAGCTACTCTTTCCTAGCCCCTCTGTTTTACTGACTTTAAAAGTTGTTTACAGTTTGTTTCATGTTCAAATGTAGGGTTTTAGTAATTCCTTGGGGTGGGGGGCAGGAATGGGCAGAAGGCCATTGTCTCTAATTTTCCTTTTCCCAACTTTCACTTTCTTTTTTCTATGGATTACATGTCAAGGTGGGTGAGAAAAATGGTGGGGATTGAGAAAAGGGAGCAATTTATTTTTTGTAGGGGAGGTCCAAAATAAAGTCACTTAAGGAATCTGTCATAAAATTTAAATATATGATGAAGCTTGTGCAAGGGGATTATAAGAACTGATTTTACTTTAACCCTTCCTGCTTTATAAAAAGATCTTGTTGATGGCAAAAAGACAAACGCTTTAGCAAACTGTACTGTACACCTTGCATTTGTTTGTATTAATATTAGTTGTTTTATTTTTTAATATGGAGTCTCACTCTGTTACCCAGGATGGAGTGCAGTGGCGCAATCTCGGCTCACTGCAACCCCTGCCTCCTGGGTTCAAGCAATTCTTCTGCCTCAGCCTCCCGAGTAGCTGTGATTATAGGTGCCATCAGGCCCGGCTAATTTTTGTATTTTTAGTAGAGACAGGGTTTCACCATGTTGGTCAGGCTGGTCTTGAACTCTTGACCTCAAGTGATCCACCCGCCTCAGCCTCCCAAAGTGCTGGGATTACAGGTGTGAGCCACCACACCCGGCAGTATTAGTTGTTTTATATTGTAGACTCTTAATTGATGTGGACTATGTGTTGTAAAATCCCTACCCTGAAGTACAATGCATTTAGATGTCCCCCCGCCCTTTTTAACTTAAATCCTTTTTCCCCCTTGCAGTCAGTGCATTTTTATATTTCTACATGCTTTGTGAGAAATGTGTAAAGGAAATATTTTTGCATCTAATTGTTCTAACTTCCAAAGGTTCTTTACTGAGTTAAAAAAAAACTGTTTTTTTTTTTGGTCTAAACTGAATTTTGTCTGTCTTTCCCCTACTCAGGCCCAGATTACCTTCCTACAGGAAGAAAGGAAGGGCCAAGAAAATTTGAAGAAGGATCTTGTGAGGAGGATCAAAATGTTGGAGTATGCTCTTAAACAGGAAAGGTAATTCAGTAAAATGAAAAGTGGTGTTCTTTTTTGTTTGTTTTGAGATGGAGTTTCATTCTTGTTGCCCAGGCTGGGGTGCAATGGTGCGATCTTGGCTCACCGCAACCTCCACCACCCGGTTCAAGCAATTCTCCCACCTCAGCCTCCCCAGTAGCTGGGATTACAGGCATGCACCACCACACCCAGCTAATTTTGTATTTTTAGTAGAGACGGGGTTTCTCCATGTTGGTCAGGCTGGTCTCGAACTCCTGACCTCAGGTGATCTGCCCACCTCGGCTTCCCAAAGTGCTGGGATTACAGGTGTGAGCCACTGGGCCTGGCCAAAATGGTGGTCTCTTAAATGTTGGAATAATTTTTTCATCATTCCTAAAATAAATTGAAATGTTAATACTGCTTGAGTTCAGGTGTGTCTGTAGTAAACATTTGTATGAATGGTTGTAATATGTTAATTTTATTATGAATAGTTTGATAACGATCAAAAAATTGATTTATATGATTTCTTAAAAATTAGCAACATTTTTTTCCTACTCTGCCTGTTTTGAAGAAGCAGATGTGCTCCCTGAGCTGTTAATACCCATTCATTTTAAAGTTGAAATAGTTTTTAATTTTTAAAGGAGGTTTCTATAATGTTTACTCCTTTTCCTGTCATTTAATATTATTCAATTTGATGTATTTTCTTTAGAAAAAAATTGTTCTAGCAGACTATGTTAAGATTCTATATAGACTTTTTTTTTTGAAACGGAGTCTCGCTCTGTTGCCCATGCTGGAGTGAGGTGGTGCAATCTCGGTTCACTGCAAGCTCCACCTCCCAGGTTCACGCCATTCTCCTGCCTCAGCCTCCCAAGTAGCTGGGACTACAGGTGCCCGCCACCACACCTGGCTAATTTTTTGTATTTTTAGTAGAGATGGGGTTTCACCATGTTAGCCAGGATGGTCTCGATCTCCTGACCTCATGATCCCCCAATCTTGGCCTCCCAAAGTGCTGGGATTACAGGCGTGAGCCACCGCGCCCAGCCTATAGACTTTTTTTGTGTATTTTGTTTCTTTGCTGTCTGCCGTTACAATCTGTCCAGAAGCTTGTCTTACCTTTCTATTTTGCTAGTGTCTAAGATACTCCAGTAACTAAATTTGGGTCACAAGTAAAGGAAAATAGGTCATGAGTGAGATTTTTAGATGTTATATGAGTTATTTATTTGCTTTAATGAATGGGCCTTGGATTTTTTTGTCGACAATCTGAGTTCATTTGTTTAAGATAACTGAGTACTTATAGGTGATATTGGAATTATCTATTTTGCTACTTTCTTGCTTTGTTTTTAATGATGCTTGTTTTGTTTTTCTCTTTTTGAAGTTGGTGAATGGGATATTTGCAATAAAATAGCATTTAGATGCAATTAGATAAATAGATGATATTTATGAGTAATGAGAAACAGATAAAATTTTATTAGAACTTACGTTCATCAACATATAGAATGGTGTAAGAGATTGAAAATAGGTTGACCTCTTAGTGAAAAATACGTGTTTCTTTTCATACTTTGGGAAAGTTGATGAAAAGCTGTATCAGGGACATGGAAAGAAAAAAACATTTTTAGGCTGGGCGTTGTGGCTCACGCCTGTAAACCCAGCACTTTGGGAGGCTGAGGCGGGCAGATCACAAGGTCAGATCAAGACCATACTGGCTAACACGGTGAAACCCCATCTCTACTAAAAATATAAAAAAATTAGCCAGGCATGGTGGCGGGCACCTGTAGTCCCAGCTACTTGGGAGGCTAAGCAGGAGAATGGTGTGAACCCAGGAGGCGGAGCTTGCAGTGAGCCGAGATTGCACCACTGCACTCCAGCCTGGGCGACAGAGCAAGACTCCATCTCAAAAAAAATAAAAAAAATAAAAAATAAAAAACATTTTTAAAAATACATAATTTGGGAGTAGTGAGATTTTTTTTTTTTTTTTTTTTTGAGGTGGAGTCCTGCTTTGTTGCCTAGGCTGGAGTGCAGTGGTGTGATCTCGGCTCAGTGCAACCTCCGCCTCCCGGGCTCAAGCAATTCTCCTGTCTCAGCCTCCGGAGTAGCTGGGACTACAGGCGCATGCCACCATGCCCGGCTAATTTTTTTGCATTTTTAGTAGAGACAGGGTTTTCACCATATTGGTCAGACTGGTCTTGAACTACTGACCTCAGGTAATCATCCACCACCTCAGCCTCCCAAAGTGCTGGGATTACAGGGGTGAGCCAATGTACCTGGCCGAGTATTTGAGATTTTTTTTTTGAAACGGAGTTTTGCTCTGTTGCCAGGCTGGAGTGCAGTGGCACGATCTTGGCTCACTGCAACCTCTGCCTCCTGGGTTCAAGCAGTTCTCCTGCCTCAGCCTCCCGAGTAGCTGGGATTACAGGCACTCGCCACCATGTCCAGCTAATTTTTGTATTTTTAGTAGAGACGGGGTTTCACCATGTTGGCTGGGATGGTCTCAATCTCTTGACTTTGTGATCCGTCTGCCTCAGCCTCCCAAAGTGCTGGGTGGCGTGAACCACTATGCGTGGCCTGGAGTGGTTATTTTCATCTGGAAGAGGAAAGTAGAAAGGAGTGCAGAGTAAGAGGAGGTGAGGCTTGAATAGCATCAAATAAGAAGGTGCTTGTCAGACAGACAAGGTGCAGGAAGTAGAGAGAACATGTTTGACATGGAACAAAGCAGTTTGGTGTGTTCAGAAATTTGTAATCTTTGTGTGTGGAGAGTAGGATGTTGGTTGTGGTCCTCCTCTCAGTTGATGACCGATAATGGTAGAGGGGGCAAGAGTCAGATCACAGAGAGCCTAACCAAGGAGTTCAAACTTTTATCTTACATGTAACAGGGAATGTGGGAGGTTTAAATTTTTTTTTTGAGACAGGGTCTTGCTCTGTTGCCCAGGCTGTAGTGCAGTGGCACAGTCATTGTTCATTGTGGTGCCAACCTTCTGGGCACAAGTGATCCTTCCACTTCAGCCTCCCAAGTGGCTGGGAATACAGATATACTCCAGTCCACACAGACAAATTTTTAATTTTTTAGAGAGACAGGGTCTCACCCTGTTGCCAGGGCTGGTCTGGAACTCCTGGGCTCAAGCAGACCTCCTGCTATAGCCTCTCAAAGTGCCGTGATTATAGGCGTGAGTCACCATGCCCAGCCAAAAATATTTTATCTAAAATGATCTCAAACTAATAGAGGAGTTGCAAGAATCTTGTATACCCTTTACCCAGATTCACCAATTGAAAATGTTTTGCTATATTTGCTTTATTGTGTTTGCTCTCTCTGTAGGTATCACTTTTTCCCCTAAATCATTTGCTAGTTTGTCCCTAACTACCTCTGTGTATATTTCCTAAGAGCAAGGACATTTCCTTATGTGATTATAGTACATTACCAAGTTAAAGAAATGTAACATTGATATTCTATTATCTGATATAGTCTATATTCAGATGTTCTAAAAAGGATCTTTATAGCTTTTTTTTTCCCCTGGTCCAGGATCCAATCTGGAAATATATACTGCATTTAGTTGTTAAGCACTTGAAAGTTTTAAGCAAGATAGAGTATGAAATACATTTTAGAAAGATCTCCTGACCTCAGTGTGGGGGTGGACTGGAAAGATCTGTAAACACAGCCAGAAAGATTGTAATAGTCTAAGATGAGAAATGATAACACAGTAGCTGCTGAAATAGAGACACATCAACTATAAAAAATTTTTAAGTACAGTCCATGAAATCTGAAGCTTATATAAAAATTTGGAGATGGGACAGGGGGTGAGTGAGAAAGATAATTTGAGAATGACTCCCATGTTCCTGGCTTGAAGGACTATCTGAATTGTGAGAGACTTTTAGAAGGTATCCAATGAATTAAAAAGAAGAATTAAAGAGCAGATATGTGAGGGGGACGCATGATGAGAGATATATGCTTGGGAATCATCAGTATTATTGTGAATGAAGTGAAAGGAGTAGTTGATAGAACAAGTATTGTGGAAACAGAAAAGAGAACTAGAAGGAGTGAGAGGAAGTAGAAATATTTGAAGAGAAGGCAGAGGAAGAAGAGCCAACAAAGAAATAGAGAAGGAAGGAGGAGAGAGTAGTATTTTGGAAGTGAGTTAAAGGAGGAAGTTCAATAACTGAAGATGCTAAGTAGACTCCAAGTAAGTTGTATACTGAAAATAGTCATTTGGAGTTGCCAGTTGGAAGCTTACTAGTACCCTTACTAAAGCAGCCTCAGTAAGGCAGCAGGAACATGAGCCAGATCACAGAGGACCGAGGGCTGAGAAGGATGAAGTGGGGAGAGATGGAGTTGCTTATTATTATTATTTTTTTCTTTGAGACAGAGTCTTGCTCTGTCACCAGGCTGGAGTGCAGTGGCGTGATCTCGGCTCACTGCAACCTCCGCCTCCTGGGTTCAAGCCATTCTCCTGCCTCAGTCTCCTGAGTAGCTGGGACTACAGGCGTGTGCCACCACGCTGGGCTAATTTTTGTATTTTTAGTAGAGATGGGGTGTCACCATCTTGGCCAGGATGGTCTCGATCCCTTGACCTTGTGATCCGCCCTCCTTGGCCTCCCAAAGTGTTGGGATTACAGACGTGAGACACCACGCCTGGCAGAGTTGCTTATTTTTTTAAGAAATTTGACTCTGAAGGACAGTAGAGATAAGGAACTGGCTGAATCTAGGGAATATTTTTTTCTTCTTTTTCTTAACTAAATGGGATTGCTCCTGGAAAAGAGTTCCTGCTTTTGTGTCTTTTTTTTTTTTTTTTTTTTTTTTTTTTTTGAGATGGAGTTTTGCTCTTGTCGCCCAGGCTGGAGTGCAATGGCACAATCTCGGCTCACTGCAACCTCCACTTCCCGAGTTCAAGTGATTCTCCTGCCTCAGCCTCCCCAGTAGCTGGGATTACAGGCATGCACCACCACACCCAGCTAATTTTGTATTTTTGGTAGAGACGGGGTTTCTCCATGTTGGTCAGACTGGTTTCAAACTCACAACCTCAGGTGATCCGCCCACCTCGGCCTCCCAAAGTGTTGGGATTACAGACGTGAGCCACCGCACCCAGCCTGGTTTTGTATCTTTTGAAGTATATGGAATGATTTGGGATTATTCTTGATGTTATGGCACTATTTGTATAATCTAAGAAATTTTTAAAAAGCATTTATTTGTGGCTTGAATTTTAAATTGAATTTTTAAAAAATTTATTGAGGAAAATTTGAAATATACTCATAGAGAAACTAATGTCTTTGATATATAGCCCCAAGTTTTAACAGTTAATGTTTTTGTCAGTCTTTTTCACCTTGATCTATTTTAATGCAATTCCAGATACCTCGTCATTTCACCTGTAAGTGCCTAAGTAAAGATCATGATTTTACATGATTTTCTTTGCATGATTTTTGCAGATTTTCTAAGTAGTTCCACTTTAGGATCCAAAAGTAAAACCGAATTATTAATGTTACAGAAGAATTACCTACCTAGCAGTGGATTTATCAAAGCATTCCTGTCTGGGAAGACCTGGGCTTCCCAGACAGGACTGAGGATCATCACACGGTGTTCAACACATACCACCAGGGGCAGGTGCACCCTGGCTTCTGAAGTAGCACCTGAGAATCCCCTGTGTCTAGTACCTGCTTCATGAATAACATTCCATAGGCTTCGGAAAGACTGTGGTTTAGGCTCTAATTTATTCAACTTGAATAATTTCTCCTTGAAATACTGAGAATAGCTTCTCTTTTGCTGTACAAATTCCAATTATCCCATAACACAGACTCCTCAGTTGGACTTATCTCTCTTCTTTATTCAGTCAGGACAGGCATTGTCACATCTTTTCTGCTGGGGATGAGGGTGAAAGAGGCTTAGGGTTCAGAGGAACCTCCCTGGCCTCCTCTAGGAAAATCTCCCAATGACTTTCCAAACCTGACTGAGTTTGAGAACTTCCCTCAGCAGATAGAGGCACCGGAAGGAGCATTGGGGCAGCCCAGCCTCACACATCTGCTTCCTTGGGGATTATGTTATGACTTGTAACGCTGTGGGAGGGGTACTGTCACTCTGTTGACAGTAATAAGTTGCAAAATCTTCAGGCTGCAGGCTGCGGATGGTGAGAGTGTAGTCTGCCCCAGATCCACTGTCACTGAACCGAGAGGGAATCCCACTTTGCAGACTGGATGCAGCATAGATCAGGAGCTTAGGAGTTTTCCCTGGTTTCTGCTGATACCAATTTAAATTATTGCTAATGCCCTGACTCGCCCGGCAAGTGATGGTGACTCTGTCTCCTACAGATGCAGACAGGGAGGATGGAGACTGGGTCATCTGGATGTCACATCTGGCACCTGAAGTTGGAAACATAAAAACAAATATTGTCGCAATTAATCATGTTATCAGAGGACTTCCCTGAAGTTCCAGACAGTACTGAGCACACTGACCGAGTATAATCCTAGTGTTCTCCTTCCTTACCTGGCAGCCAGAGCACCAGGAGCCCCAGGAGCTGAGTGGGGGCCCTCATGTCTGTGCTGTGTCCTGACTGGGGCTGACTCCTGCACCGGGTGTGACCAGCCTATAAAAAGTCTTCAGGGCAGGGGGCTGTGCTCTAGGAACAGGCAAATCAGCAGGGGATGGGGCAGGCTGAGCACAGCTGCAGGGCTGGCTCATCTCAGTAACTCAGCACAGGGGCGCAGTATCCCCAGAGTCCCAGGTCAAACCAGGGCAGCACAGATTTACCTTGAAAGAATGCATTTCTCATTGGTGGCCATATGGTTACAGAACATATGTTTGGAGTGAATTTTCAAAATTTTAAATCAACCTAAGACTAGATTAAATAATATATTTATACTTGTATTAGGAGTGTATAGGAAAGCATCATTTTTGGCAGAAAATTTACAATAAAGTTGTAGAATGTGGGGCTGTCAGAAATTTCAGTTAGTCTCAAAGGAATTTGATGAGTGTAAAAGTATTTAGTGCTATAATAACAATGTCAGTGTGAAATTGCTTCTTGTTTGAAATGAATATAAAAAGAATTTATCAGAAGCATCTTTAATAAATTCAATAGAATTTACTAACAAACTTAAGACATTGTCCCTAGGAGTAAAAGGAAAAACAATTCTCTGAAGATGCACAAAGATGATAACTGTGTCACGCATAGATCTGCCATTATCCAGAGCTATGGGTCTCTTTAAGACCCAGGGGCTAAATGGGCTGCACCTTATTCTTGGTGTGATGATCCCCATATTCTATCCCCTTTCCTGCCTTTGGTATAATTTCTTATGGTTCTCCAGCATGGAGAGCTGACTAGTAATACCAGGTCTCATTATTTCAACTAAAATCTCTGTTTCACTCGCTGACTATAGGAGCCTGGATTAAAATCAACTTGAAGCCCTGTATCAATCTAGGCCCAAATAGTCAATTGTTTCAAAGTAGGATGACAAAGGCCACATCCCCTGAGTAATGCTCTGAGCTGCGCTCCCCACCAGCCTGTTCCTGGGGTCTCAGGAGCATCTGCCCTAGAGTCTGGCTTTCTGGAGAGCAGGTGAGGGGGAAAAGCCAGGTCAGTGAGCCTCTCTCCTTAGCGAGGGCAGCTGCTGCACAAGGCATGTTCTTGCCATGCACCAGGGCATCATCCTGACCCAGATGCCAGCCACCCTGTCTCACATGCATTTAGAGAGAATCTCCATCCTCTGCCAAGACACTGCCCATGTAGATGAAAAAGTGTTTTGCATCCAAACATATCTTAAGCACTGATTTGAACCTCAATACTTCACGCAGATGCCTTTGCCCAGGGCGTGTCGGCCTGGCTCAACAGCAGGGGAAGTGGAGCCAATTACATCAGTGTCAGTGGACTGAGAAATACTCCAGGGAGTAGTTCTCATGCACGACTACGCATGGCCAGACCAAGGTAGTGCAGCCTATGCACAAACCTCCTCCTGCTTTTCCAGAGGACTGGATTTCTGGGAAATGGCTACCAAACAGGCTGCCAGGATCCATATATCCAGATTCAGAGAGATACATCTCTGGATTCAAATGCACTTTTTCTTTGTGCATAATTTTAGCAGTCATTGTTACTATGCCTTGGGGATTCTAGACATTATACTTCAGCTGACTCTCTATGGCCCTTTCTCCCCTTCACTGCTCTATCTGAACCTGGGGAAGCAGCTCAGGCTGCAAATGAGGCAGACCTCATGGCCTGGAATTAGCATCCCCTAGGACGGTTGTCAATCAGTGATGACAAGGGAGGTGTACACATCCCCCAGCTCCCTCACCTCTCAGGTGGAATAACAGAGGCATTTTTCCTGTGTTTCTATGTGGGCTTGAGCGCTCGTCATCCTCAGAGGTGGCTCCTTCTGAGGCACTTTTCACTTTCCCTTTCCCTCCTCCCCTCCCTTGCTCACTTGCTTGTTTCCCGCACTTTGTAAATATACTGCCTGCATGCGAATCTTTGGCATCCTTCTCACTGAGGGGACCCAACCTAATGCATTGGAAAAATCCTCATTCTTGGAGGGCATCGTTGGTTTGAATTATTGCCACTTCTCATGTTTTAATGCCTAGGGAAATTCCAAAAATTTAGGAAATCTTTAAATTCCCTTTGCCAATCTTTCTTAGATTTGATTTTAGCAGAGATTCGTTTTCTCTAGGTCACAAAATCACAGAAGCCTTCCACAAATGGCTACACAACATAGAGTCCACATAGAGCAGAGGCTCAGAATCTCCCAGGATTTGACATCCACACATCAGACAGTCCTAGAGTCTCATGTTTTTTCTAGGTCGATCGCCTCATAAATCTGCCTTGTGATATTTTTATTCTACCTTAGGGGAAGGCCATTGTGTGGATGATGAGAGTTGTTTGTGGAATGAATAATACACCCACTAAAGACATCATTGTCCTAATATCTGGAATCTATGATCATTACTTATGAACAAGTCAAAAATAACTTGGCAGACGTGGTTGAGAATTTTGAGGTCAGGAGAATATCCTGAATTATCTGGGTGAGACCATCATAATCACAAGGGTCCTTACAATAGGGAGGGAGGAAGGTAACAGCCAGAGAGGACCTGGGACAATGGACAGGGAAACTGGAGTGATGGAGGAAGGGGCCATGCTGCTAGGAATGTGGGAACATCAGAAAGATGGAATGCTCGACATTGGATTCTCTCTCTTGAAGCCTAGAATGAATAGAGCCCTATTACTCCTTGATTTTACTTCATTGAGACTTCTGACCTCCAGAAATGTAAGATAATACACTTGTGTGATGTGGAGCAGTAAAGTTGTGGTAATTTGTTACAGCAGCAACAGGAAACCAATGCAAGGGGAAGGGGTGTGTTTTACTTCCCTAGTGTATCACTGTCCTCTGTTCTCCCAAGTAGTTCTGTGTTTTTGTGTTTGCTGTCAATTTCAACAAGAGACAGAAAACATTTTTCTATGAGGAGAGCTAGTACCACAATTCTTCTTACGTAGAAAGTGTCTTGAGTAATTCTCTGGGTTAGGTCTTGTACAATCTTGGTATCTGAGAGCCTGGAGGTCATCTCTCACAGCACATGAGAAGAGGAAGGGGATGCGGGTTTGCTGTTTTAACATTCATAGGGCAAATTGGATGTACAAGACCCATTCTTTTTATTATTATTATTATTGTTAAGTTCTAGGTTACATGTGCACAACATGCAGGTTTGTTACATATGTATACATGTGCCATGTTGGTGCGCTGCACCCATTAACTCGTCATTTACATTAGGTATATCTCCTAATGCTATCCCTCCCCCCTCCCCACACCCCACAACAGTCCCCGGTGTGTGATATTCCCCTTCCTGTGTCCAAGTGTTCTCATTGTTCAATTCCCACCTATGAGTGAGAACATGCAGTGATTGGTTTTTTGTCCTTGCGATAGTTTGCTGAGAATGATGGTTTCCAGCTTCATCCATGTCCCTACAAAGGACATGAACTCATCCTTTTTCATGGCTGCAAGCGAGGACTGAGTCAGAGAGATGGGGATGGCAGAGGAGACAAAATGTGGTCAGGGCCGTGTAAGATGTGACCCTGCTGCCATATCTGAAAGAAAGGCTGTTGGTGTTTGTAAAGGCTTTGGGCAATTGTGCTTTGTAGACAAAACTGTAGAAGGGTCTGGGTTTAAGCTTAGTGTCAGCGTGATGAGGACTAGAGGTCGCAGTGAGCTTGTGTTAAGAAATCCACCCTGCACTTCTGGCTTTGTCTCTTTTCTGGTTTTATAGGTGGTGGGTCCCTCTATGGAATGAATGTGGCTCTGTGGAAGGAACATAAGTTAAGGTCAGACAGACCTAGATTCCAATTTCAGCTTCGACAACTGCTGACCAAGTGACTTTTATGCAAATCAGCCATGTGCTGTCATGAACAGTTTCCTCATGTGTGAAATGGGGCACTGAGGATGTGAAGGGGTGTCCTGAGGGTTCCGCCAGCTGATGCACCATGAAGTGTACATCCATGTATAGACAGACACACACACATACATGAGAAGAGTATCTAGTGCCTCTTTTATGCATTCTTGAGTAACTCAGAATGTTATGTGAGATATTAACAGTCATATGTCATTTTCAACTAAAATTATCAGTATTTATCTTATAACTAACAGATGCTTCTCTGTACACTGTAGGTTTCATGTACATTTCTTCAATCACAAAATTTTTCACCAATCTATTTACGTCTAGTATCAGAAAGTTAAGCAAGGAGATTGCAAACCAACACAACACCTTTAGTCTGGATTTTCCTGGAGCCCATTTGTGTTAGTGTCCTCGGGCTACTGTAACAAGTTCTCAAAAATGTGGTAGCTTCAAACAACAGGAATGGAATCTCTCATAGTTCAGAAGTCCAGATCAGTTTCACTGGGCTAAGATCTTGGAGTCATCAGTTCTGGCTCCTTCTGAAGCTCTAGGGAGCAGTCTGATTTAGCTCTTCCAGCTTCTGGTGGCTTCTCTCTCCCGGGATGTGGACACATCACTGCAATCTCTGTCTCTGTGTTCACACTGCCTTCTCCACTTCAGTCTATGCTAAATGTCTCTCTACCTCTTGTTTTTTTTAGGACACTTGAGTTTGCATTTAAGTCCCAGTTGATTAATCTAAGACCATCTCCCTGTTTCAAGCTCCTTAATTTACACCTGCAAAAGCTGTTTTCCCAAATGAGATACATGCATAGTCTTCATGGAATGAAACCTCACTATTTGGGGATGATACTCAGTACTACACCATTACATAACCAGGTCTCAGTGTTAGTCCTGTACATACATCACAATCTCTCTCTCTCTCTCTCTCTCTCTCTCTATGTCCACACACCCTGGCTTCCTCCTTTTCTCAATGTCATAAATCTCTTCAATTCCTTAAGTGTATCCAGTGATACCTATAAACAAATAAGTATCTGAGAAAAGTCTCAATCAGTTTAGAAATTTACTTGGTCAAAGTTAAAGAAATATCAGTGAAACAGCCTCAGGAGGTCTTGAGAACGTGTGTCAAAGGTCGTCGGGCTACAGGTTGGTTTTACACGTTTTAGGGAGACATAAGATATCAATCAATACGTGTAAGCTGTACATTGCTTTGATATGAAAAGGCAGGACAGCCCGAAGGAGGGGGGATGTTGGGGACTTCCAGGTCATAGGTGGATTCAAAGATTTCATAGATGGTTGAAAGAGTTTATCTAATGACCTGTAATCAACACAAGGGAGTTTCTGGGTTTAGAAAAAGGGTTTTGGAGCCAAGGTTGCATCATGCAGATGGAGCCTCCAGGTAGCAGGCTTCAGAGAGAATAGATTGTAATTGTTTCTTAGTAGACTTAAAAGGTGCCAAACTCTTAGTTAAATCTCTCTGGGTCAGGAAAGAGACTTAAAAAGGAGTCTCTACAGAATGTAGATTTTTCCCACAAGAACCAGCTTTGCAGAGGCATTTTTCAATACATTAAATAACAATATCTTGGGGAAAATACTTTGATTTCTCTTAGGACGTGGTATCTGTCACATTGGTATCTTATTGCTATAAAGAGTTTTCTTTGTCAGTCTCAAGGTCTCTGTCTTCATATTAAAAGCTGGTCAGTTGTGCCTGAATTTTAAAGGGAAGAGGGTAAGTTAAGGCATATCCAATCATCCGTTCCGATCATGGGCTGCATTGTATTTCAGGTTGATTTTGGTGTGTGCTTGGCTGAGAGGAGGAGTTCATTCAGTTGGTTAGGGAGCTTAGAGTTTCATTTTTGGTTTACACACCTATGTCCAGGTAAGAGGGCCCCACACAGGAGGGCTTGCTCAGAACCTGGCTTGCAGGGCTGCTTACAGACCTTCTATGTCTCCTGTTGTCATGCACAAGGAAGGACACAGCCAATGACAACCCTCAGCCATCCGGGGAGAAGCTGTGTCTGCAGAGGACGGTCATGAGCTGTGAGTCTAGAGACCTGTGATTGTCTTCAGGGGCCTGTGGTCCTCAGCTTTCATAGGAGTTGTGGGGGCACTGGCTCAAATAGCATCCACCAGGATTCTAATCAGAATATCTCATTCACAGAAGGCAGTGGGTGATATGACAGCACAGAGGGACTCTGTGGGTCCAGCTGCATGGAGCACTTTGGGAGAGTCACTGGCACCCGCGCTAGACAGAGCTTCATTCAAGTTCTGGAGCACACGGATTTAGATCTCTTTACATCATTTTGAAAGACCATTTATCATTCTGAAGGAAACCCCTGTAATTAACTAAGGTAACATCTTTAATAGGTAGAAAGAAAAAACTGATTATTTTATTGCCAAGATGATTACAAGAAAAGAAAGAAACAAAAATAGCACGAAGGAAAGAGCAACACTAGACTGAGGGCTTTGGGTAAGAGGTTGAGACTTAGTAGTGAATGCCCTGGGCCATCTTCTGTCAAAAGGGAGGGACAATCAGCAAAGGGAAATATGCAGTAGAGGCAAAATCTTGGTTAGTAAAAGAATCCTAAGAGAAAACAAGAAGTCTCCTTCCTGAGCATCATGTTGGTGTCGGGAAGATGCACATAATCCCCCCATTGCATGTCTTACAGTTTTCAGCAATTAGGGCTCAGCACGAATTTAGAAGACACCATTCACTTCACAGCAGATGGGGACACAGTCAAGGCAGCGGTGAGAGGCAAGGCTGGGCTTTCAGTCTCAGAGCACAGAGCAGGTTCCCCACTACTCCGCACCCTTGTGTCTCCTCCCAGATGTTCCAGATGTTCCACCTCATTCTTGCCTTAAGGGCTCCAAGTTGTTAATGGGACAGTAGCCCTCTTCCTTTCCCAGGGTTTCTAAGAATTTGGCTCTCTTTTGTGTATTGCGGGGTTTGTTTGCCATCTAGAGGCAGGTTTTTGGCATAGCAACTTATAGGCTTTTTCTACTTGTGTTAGCGAAAATAAATACATAAATAAATTCATCATAAGTAATAAATTGACTTAATGCATTGAATCTGTAAAAAAAAAAAAAGGTCAGTTTGAGAGCTTAAAAGGAGCCTGATGAGGTTAAAAAGACAAATTACCTTTAGTAAAGGGCAGTTGGAGCAATAGATGATTCTTTAATCAATGACATTTTAGGAGTAATTATCAAATGGTAAATAAAACTTGAAATAAGCTGATACACTATAATTTTATATGAAAAAATATTTCCAAGAACCATACAAATACATTTTCAGATTAAAACAAACAAAAATGTGGGTTTATCATCAGATCCGCTAAATGGAAGATTTCTCAAATGTGTGCTTGGAGCAAAAATAACACTTATCCCTATTTGAAAGTTCAAGATTTTTGAGCTTTCGAAGAAAACAGCTTTCCCTTCACTCTGTTCCACTCACACTTCTGAGGATGGCCATGGGGCAAAAAGCCGCGGCGGCGGGGGGCAAAAAGCCGCGGCGGGCATAAACCCGAGGCGGCGGGGGGGGGCAAAAAGCCGAGGCGGGGAAAAAGCCGTGGTGGCAGGGGGCAAACAGCCGCGGCGCTGGTGGGGCAAAAAGCCGAGACGCGCAAAAAGCTGCGGTGGTGGGGGGGGCAAAAAGCCGCGGTGGCGGAGGCAAAAAGCAGTGGGAGCAAAAAACCATATAACGTCGCGGCGGCGGGGGGCAAATAGCCGCGGCGGCGGGGGCAAAAAGGTGCAAAAAGCAGTGGTGGCGCGGGCAAAAAGCCACGGCGGCAGGGGCACAAAGACGCAAAAAGCCACAGTGGCAGAGGGGGGGAGGGGGCAAAAAGCCGCAGCCGGCAACAAGCCGCGGCGGCGGGGGGTAAAAAGCCGCGGCGGCGGGGGGGGAGGGGTGGGGGAGGGGCGACAAAAAGCCGCGTCCGCAGGGGGGAAAAATCCGGGGGGGCAGGGGGGCAAAAAGTCGCGGCGGCGGGGGGCAAAAAGCTGTGGCAGCGGGGAGGCAAAAGCCGTGGGGGGCGAAAAGCCGCGGCGGCGGGGGGGCAAAAAGCCGCGGCGACAAAAAACCACGGCGGCGGCGGGGATGCAAAAAGCCGCGGCGGCGGGGCAAAAAGCCGGGTCGTGCAAAAAGCCGCGGAGGCAAAAAGTCGCGGCGGCAAAAAGTCGCGGCGGCAGGGGGGCAAAAAGCCGCGGCGGCAGGGGGGCAAAAAGCCGCGGCGGCAGGGGGACAAAAAGTCGCGGCGACGGGGGTGCAAAAAGCCGCGACGGGCAAATAACCGCGGCACCGGGGGGGCAAAAAGCCGCGGCGGCGGGGGTGAAAAAGCCGCGGCGGTGGGGGAGGGGGCAAAAAGCCGGGTCGAGCAAAAAGCCGCGGCAGCAGGGGGCAAAAAGCCGCGGCGACGGGGGTGCAAAAAGCCGCGACGGGCAAATAACCGCGGCACCGGGGCGGCAAAAAGCCACGGCGGCGGGGGTGAAAAAGTCGCGGCGGCGGGGGAGCAAAAAGCCGGGTCGGGCAAAAAGCCGCGGCGGCGTAGGATAAGCCTCGGCTGGCAAAAAGCCGCGGCGACAAAAAGCCGCGGCGGTGGGGGGAAAGAGCCGCGGCGGGCAAAAAGCCACGGCGGCGGGGATGCAAAAAGCCACGGCGGCGGGGATGCAAAAAGCCGCGGCGGCGGGGGCAAAAAGCCGCGGCGGGCAGAAAGCCGTTGGGGCGGGGGGCAGAAAGCAGAGGCGGGCAGAAAGCCGGGGCGGGGAAAAAGCCGCGGCGGCGGGGGGACAAAAAGGCGAGGCGCGCAAAACGCCGCGGCGGGGGCGGGCAAAACGCCGCGGCGGCGGCGGGGCAAAACGCCGGGGCGGGGAAAAAGCCGCGGCGGAAGAGGGGCAAAAAGCCGCGGCGACGGGGGTGCAAAAAGCCGCGACGGGCAAATAACCGCGGCACCGGGGCGGGTGGGGGGCAAAAAGCCGGGGCGGGCAAAAAGCGGCAGCGGTGGGAGGAGCAAAAAGCTGGGTCAAGCAAAAAGCCGCGGCGGCAGGGGGTAAAAAGCCGCGGCGGGCAAAAAGCCGCGGTGGCGGGGGGGGGCAAAAAACCGCGGCGGCGGCGGGTGGGGGGGGGGCAAAAAGCCGCGGTGGCTGGGGGGCAAAAAGCCGCGTCGGCTGGGGGGAAAAAGCCGCGGCGGCAAAAAGCCACGGCGGCGGGGGGGGCAAAAAGCCGCGGAGGCAAAAAAAGCCGCAGTGGCAGGGGGCAAAAAGCCGCGGCGGGCAGAAAGTCCTGGGGGCGGGGGGCAAAAAGCCGCGGCCGGCAAAAAACCGCGGCGGCAGGGGGCAAAAAGCCGGGTCTGGCAAAAAGCCGTGGAGGCAAAAAGCCGCGGCAGCAGGGGGCAAAAAGCCGCGGTGGGCAGAAAGCCGTGGGGGCGGGGGGCAAACAGCCGCGGTGGGCAGAAAGCCATGGCGGCGGGGTGCAAAAAGCCGCAGCGGGCAGAAAGCCGCGGCGGCGGGGGACAAAAAGCCGCGGCGGCGGGGGGGGCAAAAAGCCTCGGCTGCATGGGGGCAGAAAACCCGCGGCGGGGGGGCAAAAAGCCGCGGCCCGCAAAAAGCAGCGGCGGCGAGGGGGACAAAAAGCCGCGGCGGCGGGGGTGCAAAAAGCCGCTGCGGGCAAATAAGTGCGGCACCGGCGGGGGGGTAAAAAGCCGGGTCGGGCAAAAAGCCGGGTCGGGCAAAAAGCCACGGCGGCGCGGGGGAAAAAGCCGTGGCGGGCAGAAAGGGGCGGCGGCGTGGGGGAAAAAGCCGCGGCGTTGGGGTCAAAAAGCCGCGGTGGCGGGGGGGCAAAAAGCTGCGGTGGCGGGGGGGCAAAAAGCCGTGACCGGCAAAAAGCCGTGGTGGCGGGGAACAAAAAGCCGCGGGGGCGGGGGTGGGCAAAAAGCCGGGGCGGGCAAAACCCCGCGGCGCCGTGGGGGCAAAAAGCTGGGGGCGGGCAATAAGCCGGGGCGGGCAAAAACCCGCGGCGGCGGTGGGGCAAAAAGCTGGAGCGGGTAAAAAGCCGCGGCAACAAAAAGCCTCGGCGGCGGGGGCGCAGAAGCCGCGGCGGACAAAAAGCTGCGGCGGCGGGGTGCAAAAAGCCGCGGTGGGCATAAACCCGAGGCGGCGGGGGGGGGGTGCAAAAAACCGCCGTGGGGAAAAAGCCACGGCGGCGGGGGGACATAAAGCCGCGGCGGCGAGGGGGGTCACAACAAAGCCGCGGCGGGCAAAAAGCCGAGGCGGGGTGGGGGCAAAAAGCCGCGGCGGCAGTGGGGCAAAAAGCCACGACGGCAGGGGGTAAAAAGCCGCGGCGGCGGGGGACAGAAAGCCGTGGCGGGCAAAAAGCCGAGGCGGGGGGGGGGGAGCCGCGGCGGATGGGGGCAAAAAGCCGCGGCGGCGGGGGGCGAAAAGCCACGGCGGTGGGGGGCAAAATAGTGGAGATGGGGTAGAAGGACGGCACAGCTTGGTATTGCTGGAGTGTGATGTGATAGGAAATGTGCAGCCAAAGAGAAAAAAAGATGTAAGTAAGCTTGACTCATTGCAGCTAAGAACCCAGATGTTATCTTGAGGGTATTAACTAATAAGCAGTTTAAATCAGAATGGCATATTCTGATTTGTTTTTTGTATGTTTACATTTGGCAGGCATAGATACTGTTTGAAGAGAGAAAAGACAGTAGATAGAGGTAACAAACTTAAATATGTGCGAAGTCTAGAAACAAGAGACCCGGGGATAAGGACCTTTCAAAATAAAATGCGAGATTTGAAAACTGATTGGCTGGGGCATGAGGAAAAGGCAGGTCTTTAAGGTCAATCCCTGTTTTGCTTTAAGTTGTTAGGGGTTGGTTTTATCACATATTGTAGAACATGTCATTTCAGTTTTGAACATCTTGAGTTAAATTGTCCTAACATATCTTATGAATTTGATTTTCTTCCCTGGGAAGCTAATATTTCAAAAACTGAAAGAGTATATAGATTTCCAACTTGTATCCAATTTATAAAACTATCTCTGGGCTGCTGATTTCAGGAGGAGGCTCATGAATATTCTCTTTGCAGAGAATATATCAGGAGTTAACAACAGCTTCAATATTTGTGGACGACCAGTTAACTAAGCCACCTCTTAGTGTATTTAGATGGGAAATCTTAGCTGAAGATATTCAATAATGAACCATCAGTGACTAAAAAATTCAACATTTAAGTATATTTCATTGTAATTAATTTGAATTGAAGTAGCAGCTAGTATTTACTACATTGAACAATGCAAATAAGAGGAAAAAATTAATAACCATCTCTAATACCACATGCCAAAATCCTCATCAATTTATTCTAGCTAAAGGAGTTGATCAGAAGCAGCAGTTGAAAGCACCAACTAAACCAGCTGGGGTTGGTTCACTGTCATTCTCTCAGAACCATCTCTTCTCTGAACAAAACAAGTACAGGAGTTCATTGTGAATCTGCATTCTCCTTGCCTATTTTAAGGTTTTGATGTTGACACTAATTTGTGAAATCCCTCCTGTGGTGTGATATTTCGTTTTCCTTGCTTTGTGTTAGGACAAGAATGCTTCAGCTCTTAATTTAAAATTATGTTTCTCCCTCCTAGGTTGAGTGAACTTAGAATGCATTCTCTGACATGTCCAAGTTTTTGTTAATATGAATTTCAGGAAAAAAGCATACTTAATTAGCTAAGACTTCTTATTCTAGGCTTGACCCTATGTTCGACATCTTTTGAATTTCTAGTTGCATGGGCTGCTCTCTGACACTGGTTAGTGACCTGGAAGCTGTATTAATGTTAGGGGAGGTGGTGTATGAGCATTAGAGGTATCCTTGCAAGGAAAGACTTGTCTTATCTCAATATGTCTTTTTTTTTGCACACAAGAAAGTCAATGTTTGAGTCTTCTAAAATCTTCCTATTTCCAAGTTGCAGAGTACCATTGATTCCTAAACAAAAACCTAATTTTTGACTCAGAGACGTGGCGAGGTAGTGAATCACCATTATAATTTAACAATCTTCCAGATAAAATTATCTCTGATATTTAGATTTTGCCCAATTATTAAGATATTTGGGTGTTTTGTTAAGAATGGAAGACTCTTGTCTCTTGAGCAGAGACTATAAAGGCCTCAGATGATCATTTTTAATTTTATGCTCTTTTCTTTAACACCTTCAACACAGTTGGAAGCAGCCGATATTCCCCAGAGTTGTTGTGTTTTTTAAACCAAATGCATGGTTCAGTGGTAGAAAACTGGGCAGATCCAAGCTGTTTTCAGTAAACACTTCATTTCAGGTGACCTATTTCATATTAAATAATCTCTAGATCCTGTCTTCGAAACTAACTAGATCAGATAAACTACCCTGGATTTTCTCCTTTTTAGGGTCTGTGAGCTGCAGTCACTTTTGTGAACATGATTGCAATGACAAGATAGAGTTGTAGATGGGGAAAATGTTTTGACTAATTTAAGCATAGTGGTATTTCATATGAGAATTTAAGTTACACACATTTGAAAATTATAATGGAGTCTCTTGGCTGAGCTTTCAAAAAAAATAGCGTTTTGGCTAAAAAGGGAACTGCTACCTCTCCTAGAATCAGAAAGATGTTACAGTAATTCTCCATTCTCTAGAATTATCAAGAAGCACCTTTGTGATGATTTACTTTTGCTCTTGGGAGTGTGAGCCCGTGTAGTCGTGGAACCATCAATTAGAATGGTGGCTTTCTGATCCCAAAGTCATTCGTTCTGAAAACAATATTTTTCATAAATTTGAAAGTGAGAAGTTTTGATCTTGCCATTCCCAAGTAACTCTCTTAATAAGAGGCATCAGCATGCTTCAATGACAGCTGTCACCTTCTAGTGCTGAGAGTCATCTTTGAATTCTCCATTTCACTCCCTACACTCCAATTTAGCTGCAGTTCTCTTGGCCAGTCCTATGAAATACATCCATGGCCTAACGACTTCTCACCACTACTACCACTCATCCTGACAGCATTCTCACCTAAGTCACTACCTTTTTTCTCTGGATTAGAGTAGCCTCCCAATTTATTTGCTCACATAACCTATTTATTCTACACAGTGCACCAGATACACCCCTTTGAAATGCAAACACAATCATGTTATTCTCTGGTGAAATTATCTCATATATTCCTATCGCATTTAAAATTAATTCAGAATCATCCCATGATTATCAAAACCCTACATGCTCTTCCACAACATGGTTTACTTCCAAGATATCTCTTCAACTTTTTTTTTCACTCTACTGAATTGGTGACTAATAGTCATATTTTTGCTTTTGCTCAAAAAGTCTTGACTTGTAAATTTTTCAGTTTCTCCTTTATCCACAGGTAACTCTTTCCTCATAAGGCGAATTGCTTGCTTCCTTGAGTTCTGCTCTCAAAGATACCCTTCATTTTCTACCTAATATTAATAACTTTAATCATTCATTATTCCATTACTATGCTCTATAGTGTATACAATTTCTGTTCTTTGTCATGTTATTAACTAAATTATTTATTTGGTCCAGTAACGCATTCCATAAATATTGTACACATAAAAATTGTGTTATTTTTATTCCTGTATGCTCAGCTGCCCAATAACAGTCTGATGATTAACATATTTGTTGAATGCACAAATACATTCTTTCACAAATATTAGTTTAATAATTTTATATTAAACTCCCTCTATACTTACAATATGAATTAGATAATTCAGAATAAACATTCCAGTGGAAAAAACTAAACAATTTGTTATAAAACATCCTTAAAAGCATCAGAAAGTTAATACAGCAATGAAGAATTACAGGACCAAATTAAGAATGGTATGAAAGCCTGTTTGTGACGCTTATGTTTGGGTTATCTCTTTACTTAGAGTGACTATAAATCTCAAAAGAGAACTAAAGGGAGAAATAACCGTATCTACTAACAGGGTAAGGATACTTAAACATCTCTTAGTAATTGAGAAAATTGAAAGAAAAGAAAAAAGAGAAAGGGAGAAAGAGAAACAGCAAAAGGGATAATGAAGGAGAGAAAGAAGAAGACGAAGAGGAAGAAAAGTAAAGAGGAGGGGGAAGGAGGAAGGAAGAAAGGTGAAAAGAAAGAAGGGTAAACTTTTTAATAACATAATTTATCCTCCTAGAATTTGAATGTTGGTCTATTTGATGATGTCCCACAGATTCATTAGTCTCTGCTCATTGTTTATTTTTTATTCTTTCTGTTTCTCAGAGTCAGTATTTTCCATTATCTTCTCTTCAAGTTCATGGCTTCTTCTGTGTGTGCAAATAGACTCTTAAATCCCTCTGGTGATTTTGAAATTTTTATCATTGTAGTTTTCCATTCCAGAATTTCTGTTATCTCTTTGCTGATATTCCTACTTTTTAATATTTTTTCTGATTCCTTTATTTCTTTGATTATGTTTTCCTTTTGACATTTGAGTATAATGAAGAGAGTTGTTTTAAAGTCTTTGTCTAGTAAGTTTGATGTCTGGGTTTCCTTAGGGATATTTTCTGTCAATTTATTTTGTTCCTTTGAATGAGCCACACTTTCCCATTCTTTGTATGCCTTGTAACGTTTTTTGAAAACTGGACATTCTAATAACTATAATTACTAAGTGGTTACTCTGCAAATCGAACACTCCCTACAAACACAGTAATGTTTTGTGGTTTTAAATTTTCTTTACTTATTATATTGTTAAGGATTTTTTTTTTAGTGAAATTTTCCAAAGTGATTTACAAAACTGTTTGCTTTATAAGGTGTGGTCACCAAAGTCTTTTTGTTTCCTTAACAAATGTTAAGCTAATGTTTTGACAGTGATTTTCTTGTATGTCAGGAACCAATCAAACAGGCAAATACAAGAAAAACAAAAAGAAAAACAAGTAATCATTGTCCAGCAAAATATGTCTCTAGGCCATGCAGACTGGCTTTGTGCTGGGTTCTTTAAAGCCGGCACAAAGTGTGTGTTCACTCTTGCACTGAGTGAAGTTCAAGTTCACTCTTGCACAGAGCTTGCACTGAGGGGAGGGATCGGCCAAGGTGAAAGTGTAGGGTCTTCTTATGACATTTGTCAGCATGTGGCTTAACCTATGAATACATGTGACTTTCTAGACTCTCCCATGTACGTGAATGATTTTGTATGTCTTAGTTTTTGAAATACTCTTCTCCACCTTTTCTTGCTGTGCTGAAGGTGATCTACTATATGTGTAAACTTTAATTTTTGCCCTAAGCATCTGTGGTTTGTTAAGTCTCCTTGCAGAGTTTCTTAATAATGTCCATTCCTTATCTGTTCTGTATTCAAGCAACACAGAAAAAAAAGCCTTTCATGAGTCCTTTAGGTATCCCCCAGACCAGTCAGAACAGACACATAATAACTTGCGGGTAAGATCTTCTCTTGTTCCTTTGGACCATGGACCAGGCTTCCTCACTGGGAACGTGGGCTTCTGACACTTCAAAACTGCCAATTTGCTGGGGCAAAGACAAGTTTAAAATGTCGTAAAGTTTTCCAGTTGTCTTTTTCTTGAGTCTGCTTTCACTTGGTTGTTGTAATCTTTTGACCATTTTCCAGAGTTTTGGCAAAGTTTATTCGGACAGTTTCTCTTAGTTGTGTGATGTTTCTGTGGGGAAATGACAGATTGCAGCTGTCTCCACTGCCATTTTGCTGATGCTCCTCTTTTGTCAATTTTTGCTCCATGTTATTATGCTTTGTTATTAGTTCATGTATTACTTTTCTAGGGCTGCCATAACCAACTAACACAAACTGAGTGCCTTGAACAGCATACATTTATAGTCTTATAGTCCTGGAAGCTAAAAGTCTGAGATTGAGGTGTCAGCAGGGATGGTCCCTTCAAGGGCTATGAGAGAAAGCCTGTTCTGTGCCTTGTTTCTCGCTTCTGGTGGTTTAGTGGCAGTCTTTGGCATTCCTTGGCTAATCTCTGCCCTCATAATCACATGGTACTCTCCCTGTGTGTATGTCTCCCTCTACTCAAATTTCTTATTTTAATAAGGACATCAATCATATTGAATTCAGGCTCATCTGATTGTATCTTAACTTGATCAGCTGCAAATAACCTATTTCCTAATGAGGTCATATTCAGTGGTTAGAATTTCAGCATCTATATAGAGGAAACAATTTAGCTCATATCTGTGCATACATGATTGTAATAGCTATGTCTTCCTAAAGCGTTGACCCCCTTTTTACTACAATATAAATTTTTAAAATCCTATTCACATTTTTAATAGTCTATATTGTGTGTTGAGTATAATGAGTTCAGTGTTCTTATGATTGCTCTTTGTAGGATATTTTTTGTCATCTTTTTACTTTCAATCCGTTAGTATCCTTGCATCTCAGCGTATATTGGGATCACTTGTTTTAATCCAGTCTGACAATCTCTGCCTCTGGAATGGATTTTAATCTGCTCACATTTAAGATTATAATTGGTATAATTCTATTTATGTCTGCCATTTTACCGTTTGTTTTATATATTTCCAAATATTTTTCTTTATTGCTTTATTTTGCAATGCAAGAATATTTTTTAAAATAGGGAACTTTAGATTACTAATGAATTATTTTATTATATATTTTTGAGATTTTTATTGTTGTTGTAAGTTTACCATATAGGTGTATGGAAAATTAATTATTCAAATCGTCTTCCAATTTATACTATTAAACTTTTAGTAATACATAGAAACATCATTCTTATATAAATCTTTTTTATTTCCTCCATTTTAAAGTATTATCACTTTACACATTACATCTATTAAAGTTACAAAGCAAACAATACATTTTAGTAATTATTACTTTACCATCTAGAGTGATTACCTTATCACAATACATTTTTCTTCCAACTACCTCCTTTTTGATGTTACTGGAAAATATGTTATAGACGTATTACATTTCTACATGTCAAATACTCAGCAATACATTATGCACATATTATTATTATTATCATTGAGACGGAGTCTCCCTCTGTCACCCAGGCTGGAGTGCAGTGACACAATCTCCGCTCACTGCAAGCTCCATCTCCCGTCTTCATGCCATTTTTCTGCTTCAGCCTCCCGAGTAGCTGGGACTACAGGCGTCCGCCATCACGCCCGGCTCATTTTTTGTATTTTTAGTAGAAACGGGGTTTCACTGTGTTAGCCAGGATGGTCTCGATCTCCTGGCCTCGTAATAAGCCCGCCTTGGCCTCCCAAAGTGCTGAGATTACAGGTGTGAGCCATCGTGCCTGGCCATTATACACATGTTATTTAATAAACAATTTATTATAAAGAAGAAATGCATTTTTACTGTCTTTTATAATGTCAATATTACGTATATCAGTGCTTTTTTTAAAATGTGGATTCAAGTGACTGTCTTCTGTAACTTGCTTTTAGCCATAGGAATTTTTTTAGAGTTTTTTATTTTTATATGGTAGGTCTGCCAGCAACAACTTCAGTTAATGTTTCTGTTTATCTGGCTAAGTCTTTGTGTTATTTTCATTTTTGAAAAATAATTGCTGGATAAGGAATTCGTGGCTGAGAGGTTTTTTTCCTTTGCATCTTTTGAATATATTATTCTACTGCCTCTTGCCTTCCATTGTTTCTCTTAAGTCAGCTGTTAATCTTACAAAACATAGGTGCTCAGAAAATAAACATGTGCATGAATATTTACAGCAGTAATATTCATACAGTCAAAAAGTGGAAACAATCCATATGCTTGTTGACTCATAAAGGGACACCCAATTTTCAGCTATAACGAAGAATGAAGTACTTATATATAGTATAATATTGGTGAAATTTGAAAGCATTATGTTAAGTGCACAAAGGACAAATATTACTTGATTTGATTCACATGAAACATCAGGAATTGGCAAATCAATTGGGATATAAATCAGATTAGTGGTCATTAGGGCTCAGGGAAGCAGAATAGGGTGTAACCACTTTATGCATAATGGGTTTTTGTAAGGGACATGATGAAATTGCCCTGGAACATGGTGAATATACTAAAAGCAAGTGCATTGTATGCTTTAAAATGGTTGTTATTACTTTTGTATTATGTGATTTTTACCTTAAAAAACAAAAAAGAGAAAATAGCCTTACTCTATACATAATAAACTCAAGATATGTTACAAATTTACATGTGAAATCCAAAATACTATAATATTTAAGGAATAGCTAAGTAGAATAACACTGAAATTTAACATAATGAAACATTTCCTTAAAAAAGGAAAAAGCACAGTAATTAAAAAGGGAAATATATTTAATATTTTTTCTCTCCATTAAGCATGCCATTAACTGAGTAAAAAATCAAGCTGCAATTATGTAAACTACATTTTCTAAAATCATAAAGAATAGAAGAAATAAAAAGGTATTTGGGAAAAAAAATCCAAGGTACAGTCAACTACACAAAAAAGCTTAGTCTCATTAATCATTATGAAAATGCAAATGGTAACTGAAAGAAGATAAAACTACAATTCAAAGAGAAAGCCTAAAATTTCAACCCCCCAAAAAGTCTGGGTTTTGGAGATCTGGGATGGAATAGGGTTCCAAACCTGACAACAATGGAAGACCCAAACTAACTTCAAAGTCATGACTTTATTTTTATAGCAACGAGGTTGCCAAGAACTGAGTCAAAATGTGAGGGAAAACAAGCACCTGCAAGGAGAAGGAGGACGGATGCACTTACATAGGACAGAAGCAAATAGGCACCACCATGACAAGTAAAGCTGGAATAATCAATAAATTCCTAAAGACAAAGTGGGGCTGGTGAGATTGGGAGACCGCTGACAGCTGCAGAAGTTGGGAAAGATCCATCATCTTGAAAACTTTTTCCCCACAAACCCACTGCGATCTCTCAAGCAATTGGTAAGGAATCCAAGAGAGTCTGTATATGACACAGATCAGGGAGAGCAGAACACTTGGGAGGTGACCAGGTCTTGGGGGTCGAGCCCATATGAATGGGATTAGTGCCTTTATAAAAGAAGCTCAATGGAGTTCTTGTGTGCCTTCCACTATGTGAGGCCATAGAAAGCAGGCACCACCTATGAACCATGAAATGGGCTCTCATCAACACTGAATTTGTGAGCATCTTGACCTGAGATCTTACAGCCTCAAGAAGTGTGAAAAAAGAAATATCTGTTGTTTTTTAGTCACCCTGTTTATGTTATTTTGTTATAAGAGTCCAAATAGAGCAAGATATTCCACTTGATATGTAGGGGAAGGCAACAAAAACTGCCACACTTAGGATCCTCCTGATGCTGGGAGTATGAAAACAGGAAAAACAAAACAAAACTGCTCTTGAAGGTGAAGGAGGAATATCACTGAGCTCACCAACACAGCCAGGAAAAGAACAGAAGTGTGAGAAGGCTACATTCCTGAGACCCTGAGAAAAAGTACCTGCATAAGACTGAGATCAAATTACCTACTCTAATTATGATTGAAATCCCAAAAAGAAAAGAGGGAAAAATAATGGAGCAAAAGAAATATTTTTCAAAATAACTGCCAAAAATATTCTAAAAGAAGTGACAGAAAATCAAACTTCAAATATAGGAAACTCAGAGAATGTCAAATAGAACAAGAAGAAATAAGAATTACATCTTGAAAAATCTTTAAAAAATCAAGTCTAAATGTTATATCTTGCTCCAAATATATAGAGATATAAAGAGGTTATCATCAAGATATGGAGAAAGCCATATCATGGAAACACTAAAATAAAGCTGTGGAAGGACTACATTGATATTAGACACAACAGAGTTCGGAACAAGAAATAGTATCAGAGATGAGAGATAATACATAATAGAATAATCAATTCTCAAGAAGATGTAAACATCCTACTAATTAGGGTATGCAGCTAACAACAGAACCTCCAAATACATGAGGTAAAACAGGAAAGAAATCAAAGGTGAACTGGAAAAATCCAAAATTATATTGGCCGACATCAACACTTTTGTCTTAGAAATGGAAA
Organism: Homo sapiens; assembly: GCF_000001405.40. Classification (NCBI taxonomy): domain Eukaryota; kingdom Metazoa; phylum Chordata; class Mammalia; order Primates; family Hominidae; genus Homo; species Homo sapiens. The sequence continues at coordinate 19,259 of NT_187367.1, read as the reverse complement.
GACTAGGCACTAACTCAGTAATCATGTGGAAGATAAGAACAACAATATCACCAACAAGACATCCAATATTCAATGGCAGATACTCTTTCCTTTCAAGTGAAAAAAAAACAGTATGGCATATTCTCTAACAAACCCAGAATTTCTAATATTTGCGTTCTTCCTTCTTTCTTTCCATCTTCCTTTCTCTTCTCTTCCCTTCCCTTGCCTTCCTCCTTCCTTTCTTCTTTTCCTCTTCCTTTTCTTTTCTTTTTTCTTTACCTTTCTTTCTTTTCTTTTTTCTCCTTCGTTCCTTCTTTCCTTCTTTCTTTCTTTCCTCTTATTCTTCCTTCCCTCCTCCCTCCCTTCCTTTCTCCCTCACTTTCTTCCTCTCTTTTCTCATATTCCTTCCTTCTTTCTCACCTTCTTGCTTTCTTTCCTTTTTTCTCCCTTCCTCCCGCCCTCCTTTTCTTCCTTCCTCCCTCCCTTCCTTTCCTCTTTTTCCTTCCTTCCTTCGCCTCTTTATTTTCTTTGTTTCTGTTCCTTCCTCCCTTTGACCATTCTCTCTTCCTCTTTTCCTTCCTCCCTTCCTCCCTTCTTTCTTTCTTTCTCTCTTTCTCTCATTCTTTCTCTTTCTTTCTTTCTCTTTCTTTCTTTCTTTCTTTCTTTCTTTCTTTCTTCCTTCCTTTTCTTTCTTTCTTTCTTTCTTGTGTTCATGCTTTCTTTTTTCTCCCTTCCTGCCTTTCTCCCTTCCTCCCTCCCTCCCTTCCTTCCCTCATTTCCTCCTTCTTTTCTTTCTTCTTTCTCTCTTTATTTCCTTCCTTCCTTCTTTCCTTTCTTCTTTTATTTCTTTGTTTTCTTTCTTTCTCTTTACTACAATTAATATTATTTTAAAAAAATTAAGAGAGGGAGACAGAAAAATAAAGAACGCTATAATCTGCAGGTAAATAGATTATGTCTGCTGTAGGCCAAAGAATGGCCTCCCAAAAATTTTCATGTCCTAATTCCCAGAGTCTAACATACAATTATGTTAGGTTGCACGGCAGTGTGAAATTAGATTTCAAGTGAAATTAATGTTGCAGAAAAATGATAGAGAGATTGTCTTAAATGGGTGGGATCAATGAAATCACAAACTTCCTTTTAAGTGTAAGAAGAAGGCAGAAGAAAGGCAACCTTGGAGGTGGTGGCATGAGAAATTACTCAACATCACTGACTTTTAAGATACAAGAATGAGGACCCACCGCGGTGGCTCATGCCTAATCCCAGCACTTTGGGAGGCTGGGGTGGGTTTATCACGAGGTCAGGAGATTGACACCATCCTGGCTAGCATGGTGAAACCCCATCCCTACTAAAAATACAAAAAATTAACTGGGCGTGGTGGCAAGTGCCTGTAGTCCAAGCTACTCAGGAAGCTGAGGCAGAAGAATCACTTGAACCCGGGAGGCAGAGGTTTCAGTCAGCTGAGATCGTGCCACTGCACTCCAACCTGGGTGACAGAAGGAGCCTCCATCTCAAAAAAAAAAAAAAAAAGAAAAATAGGATCTAAGAATGAGGTCATGTTCCAAGGAATAAAGGTGGCCTCTGGATGCTGAAAAATATCAAGTAATAGATTCTGCCAAGTAGCCCTCAGAAAGACTGCAGCCCTGCCCAAAACTTGATGTTAGCCCTGTGAGTTTAATTTAAGGCTTCTGAACTACAGAACTGTGGGATTAACGGTCACTTTATTGTAAGATATGAAGTTTGTGGTAATTGGTTACAGCAGCAAGAGGAAGTTTATATTGTAATTGTATCATGAAAATGAGAACCATAATTTACAACTGCTTTTAATACTGCACTTGGATGTTTGAAATCACGTACATGGAAATGATCTCTATGTGCATGAGGGAGGATAGCAAATTGATGCCAAAATAATGCAAATGCAAATCTTACACTCATTTCTATGTAGGTTTCATTTAATCTTTGAAATTAAAATGAAATTAAAAGATAGTGATCTTTTGATGAAATTAGACTAAAATGAACTATAACAAAATAAGAACTTACTTATATTCTTTATATGGTCAATAAAGATGTGATAGTGGAAAAAAACAAGATCAAATGAAGGTGAGGATTTAGGAAGTTGGAAAGATAGCTGAAACTACAAAATGGTATATAGCCAGTGAACAATTAGACACACTGATTGATGAACTTCAGCTTTTGGCTTGGTGAGAGCATAAAATGAGAGCAGCTGAGGTTTGCCAATTTGTAATCTCCTTGTGGACAAACAGGGGAAAACACATCTCAGCCTAATAAGATTTCTCTACTAAAGAGTCTAGACTTGATCCATTTGTCCTTGCAATTCAAAAGCTAATTCAAATACTGATTTGATGTATTGTGTGAACAACCATTGCTGATTATCATCGCATACCTGGCATTCTCTTGTATCTGATATCTAAAATATTTGGTAATTCCTGGACTTTCTCTTTTCAAACCCAGGACGGTTTAATTTGAGTCTTAGAACAGTTGTCTTTGAGAAATTCTTCCCTCTACTGCATCTGTGAATGGGCATAGCATGGTTACATACATACTGTCACTCCATAGAACATTTGTTAAATTAAAGCCAAAGTTTAAAGCAAGAGCTTTAACTTACTGGTTTTACTAATGGTTTCCTCCCCAATAGCCACAACCATATTGCTACCCTCACACCTTTTAACATAAAGCTTGGTGTTGTCTATTTTTCAGGTGCTGTCATCTATATGAGCTCAGTATTTTAAAAATCCACTTCCATCCCGTATGGTGGTTCATGCTTGTAATGCCAGCAGTTGAAGAGCCTGAAATGAGAGGATTCCTTGAGCCCAGGAGTTCACAAGCAAACTGGGCAACATAGCAAGACCCAGTCTCTATCAAAAGTTAAAAAAAAAAGTGGGCAAGGTGATGTGCACCTGTTGTCCTAGCTATTTGGGAGGCCAAGGTGGAAGGATTGCTTGAGCTTGGGAGGCTGAGGCTGCAGTGAGCAGTGATTGCACTACTACACTCCAGCCTGGACAACAAAGCAAGACCCTATCTCAAAAAATATATATAATAAAAGTAAAAATCAGCTCTCATTGATTTCTATGTAAATATGCACAGGTGATGTCCATATAGACATAAATAATAATATTTCTGACAATGGGTCCATATGATCTTCAAAATGTACAATGCCTGTCTGTGTAATTGACTGGTTAGTCTCATTAATGAATACAGATTCAATTCTACTTTCTTGTTCTAGATAAATTATATAATCTAGCTTTCATTTCACATATTTACTGATAACAACAGGAAGAATGACAAGATATCTATTTTGGAAAATTACTCTGGTAGGAGTAAAGATGAAACAATGATAGAATTGCACGGACAACTAGAAAAAAGTATGGTCTTCTGATATTCTATCACATCACATACTAAAGGCCTCATAAAACTCAGATATTTTATCTAAAAATGTTATTTTCATCATAGGAATGATCAAAGCATGAGACTACAATTGTATTAAAATGTGCTTGTAACACAAGCACAGGTGCTAAAAAGGAGGGGAAAACATCCTTACTGATATTTTCAAAGTATGCTTTACTTTTCATCAACATGAACCTCAGCTTGATATGATGCAGATTGAAGGAAATCACCCATAATTCCATAAGAAGAAGGCCTGTGATATTTTATGGGAAAGTAAATAGAGAAAATGCTAACAGAAACCCTGTTAAGCATGAAGCTTTATGGAGCAAACATAAATCCAGTGGTGAAAGATACACACTGGAGTTCTGTTTGCTGTCTTGGAACAATACGGTTTAGAGGTGACTGGCGGGTGAGGAGAACATATGCGAGTTCAACTAAGAGAAAAGCTGAATGAGGCAATGCCTCTTCCTGAGCATATCTCTTATTCAGATAACTATAGAATTTATTGTCCAGTAAAGGGTATATTAAAAAATCATATGAAAAGTCATACAGTGAAGTTGTCCAGGGAAATCAAGACTTAACAGTCTCACTCTGACAATAATGAACAGGGGGATTGCCTCAAGATAGACTAGGACATGACCCCACACTGGCAGGTAGTAGTACCAGAAAAGAACGCATGGAAAATCTTTACCTTATGCTTGAGGTAGGGACCAGGCTAAAGTGAAAGCCAGACCTAAAATTCTATCTAAAATAAATCCACAATCGAAGAAAATATGTGGTGTACAGGCATAGAATATCTTTACTGGATCATTGAAATAGTAAGATAAATTCAACTTTTTACAGTGTTTTCTTTTCCTCCAGTTAGGGCTTCAGGTTTGTCTCTGGAGAGTGACTGTCAATTGGAGCCCTGCCTTTCTGGGGTTCTGGTCAGGGGGTTGTGGATGCTTAACATGTGCCTTTCACAGGACACTTCCTTACCCCAGCAGTGGCCAGGTGTGCATCCCACGACCAGGCCTCCCTCTCACGGAACATCTGTTGAGACTAAGAGATGTCTGGTGACTGTTACCTGACCTGTGTCCTGTGTATTTCTGACAAGAGCCACTCTCAGAGACCCTGGCCAGGAGGAGAGTTAGGTTGCAGTGTAGGTCAGCTCAGACACATGGAGGCCACAGAACCAAACATGGGAAATCACAGAAGTAGGTTTATTACTCACAGATCCAGAGAGAAGAGGGTAGCTGAGAAGAGGGTTTAGCTGTGTCCCCAGCCAAATCTCATCTTGAATTCCCACATGTTGTGGGAGGGAACAGATGGGAGGTAATTGAATCATGGGGGCAGGTCTTTCCCATGCTGTTCTTCTGATAGTGAATAAGTCTCACAAGATCTGATGGTTTTATAAAGGGGAGTTTCCTGCACAAGCTCTCTTGTCTTGTCTGCTGCCAGGTGAGACGTGCCTTTCGGCTTGTGCCATGATTGTGAGGCCTACCCAGCCATGTGGAACTGTGAGTCTATTAAATCTCTTTCTTCTGGCAATTACCCAGTCTTGGGCATGTCTTTACCGGCGGTGTGAAAATGGACTAATACAGTAGCACACCTCATAGGGCTGAACAAAATGGGGAAGATGAGTGGGGAGCAGGAGAGAGAAAAGGGGTCTGTGGGACTCCAGCCTTTATTGGGCCCAGAACATTATCCAAATAAGTTTTCCACGGGGCACTAGTCGGTGGGGTGAGTGCCAGCAGGCACATTTCTTGACTCCTGCTGCAATCGAGCAGGTCACTCTGGCGTGTGGGGGCTGTCCATGTGCACTGTGAGGTCTGTGGGGTGAGTCAGGTAGGTTGTATCCAACTGTTCCATAGCTGGTAGTCACCAGGAGGAGGCAACTGTGTAGGGTCAATATCTGGGCCAGCCACACTGAGGAACTGTGAGGGTTAGAACTGGAAATTGTCAAGGGAATCCGAACCCAGCTACCATATGAGAGAGTTCAACTTATGTTCAATGTGAATGCCATGGCAATATTAAAAGGTAAGAATTCGCTCCATACGTGCTTGAGGTAAATAGGAGAAATCTAGAATTTATGTGAACAGTGAGAAGGTTGGATGCGTTTTATGTCACGTATTTTAATACTAGCAGCTTATTATATATGTCAATCCATCAGGCATTCAGAAATACATGCTTATGAAAATTTTTTGCACCATCAGACAAAAGACAAGGGTAGAAGACATTTGTAACCCTATAAACACTAGTAAATTAAAAACAGGAGGACCTTTATGTCCTAACATATCTGTGTTGTGAAAGGCTGCCCTGTGAAATACGGGATTTCTTAAACATATTTTAAAAATCATAGGTGTGAGTATTTTTTAGAAATCCATTTAAATTTTCTCTTGTTATTTTACAATGCCTATCTATTTATTTAGTGGCTCTGCTGCTTTTTATGTATATCCTAAACTTTATATTTTCTTTAAAGGATGCTTTATACAACTGTATGTAAAATGTTTCAGTATCTTCACATTATTTCCCTGTCCTTTTGTTTTGCTCTTATATGGTGGTCTTGAGTCTTTTCTCTGGCTTTTCAAACCTAGTAAGACTAAGACACTAAAGGAACTTTGCCCGTGGTTTCGTAATGCCTTCCAAAGCACATCTTAAGCTCTCGTGCATACAGGGGTCTCCTTTGAGCTCTGTGCTTTTGAGATACCATATACCTAAATTCCAGTACTCCAAATCAGTACTGCTCAGTTTTAGTGACTAAGTTTAAAAAGGTATTTTAATAGCAAGTTAGTTTAGTGCACTCTTGCTTCTTTCTTGACTGCTTGTATACATTTATATTCCTTTAAATGAATCTTGGAATTTATTTAAAAATTTTAAATTATACTAATGAAACTGTATATTGTTGTGAATTCATAAGTGAATTTGGAAAGAATTTGCCTTTATGATACTAAATCTTTTTTATCCAAGAATCATATATGTCTTTATATTTATTCCAGTCTATATTTATATCACTGAGTAAATATATAGAAATGTAGATACATACAGCTGTAGTTATAGATACAAATATATATATAACATGTTAAATCTATATCTATACCATATAACATATATACATGTTATATATGTGTGTGTATGTATACATATGATTATGTTATTAAAGAGCTCTCTTAAAATTTTTCTTTTATTTCCCATATAATTTTAGGTCGAGCTTGAATTTTCCTTGTATAAACAAGCAAATGTTATACTAGTTTTAATACTGATGTTTAGACATTGTATCTTATTTTAGCATTGAATATTTTCACAATTAGTATAAATATTATCTAATAATAATGTACCTGTTAAAAATATTTAAAATTTTACCTTTGAATTATTTTATTGTTGAATTAAAATTCCTTTAATATGATAGTAAATTTCTATGTTATGCTTTCTCTATGCATATGCAAATTATCTATCCACTTCTCTATCTCTTTGTAGTGACATATGAAAACCAGGCCTCTCTTCTTCTAATGGACATACACATGTTTGCATATAGAATATCAGACTCTTTATAGCATTTAAAATATTTAAAGACATGAATATTGCCTTTTAACAAATATACTTTAGCATGTACTGAGAATCCCCTATTTATTTTTAATTTGGGCTAATCAATATGATTATTAATATTATTGGATTACCAAATTTGGAAACACACTTTCATCCCCAAGGTGCATATTTGTTTTTTTTTTTTTTTTTTTTTTTGCCAATTTCTTGTCTTACTGTTTCAAATATTGTTGGATATTATTTTTATTTTATTTAGCATTTTAGTATCAACATTTGTAATTGAGGTACTCTACATAATTTTTCTTCAATATCTGGTGGGTTTTATAATTACTGCTATATTGGATTTGTAGTAGATATTGACAAAAATTATTCCTGTATGTTTTATACCTGTATGAGGGAAACTAATATATTTTACCCCTAAATATATTTCCTTGATATATTTCAAAATGGCTATTGAGAAGGGCTGGAAATGCAAAGTTAGCTGCAAAGCTGTCTTGGGGAGATTTGCATCGGTAGAGAAACTCCCTTGATGCAGCCAGGCTTTCTCTGAGGTCTGCCCCCTTGTCTGGATCTAGGAAAGTTTAACTGAGAGTCTGAGGTCTCCAAATGTCTGAAAGAAACATTTTCTGTCTATTCTCTCTGAGGACTGCTCCCAGTGAGATTCCACCTAGGTAATAAGTCCACTGTTGCTAGCCAGGGTCGTTTTCTCACATAACCTTTCTTTTTTTTTCCCTGTGATCCAAGACCCCATTCTTTTTGTAAATTTCATGTGGTAGATAAGCTTCTGCACGCATCGTGTGTCTGGGTCTTCGTTCTAAGGGCTCCAGTGTACACACATTGCAGAAACCTGTATGCCTTTTCTACTATTTATCTGCCTCCTATTAGTGATTTTCAGGGAAACTTCAGAAGGCAAAAGGGACATTCTCCTTTAACCTATTCTCAGACAGAATCTCCCAACATTTAACTGATTCCTAATAGCTTAAAATCACTTTGAAAAATCCATATATTTATAACCTTTTCTTCCCTCTATGATTTCTGGTTAGCTTGGGTTTTGTTTTTCATTCCATTTACTTCATCCTCAAAAAGATCTATTTTACGTCTATTTATTCTCATTTATGGACATTGAGTAAAGAAAATAACTTTCATGTGAGAAATGCAAGTCCCTTTAAATAATCAGGCCCAGAGAGATATTCAAATGAGACAGCAGTTCTGTCCTTCTCCTCTTTGAGCTGTGTGTTCATCTAGGCTGCTTGCTGTTGCCACAGTAGCTATAAATTAACCAATAACGCCACACCAGACACTATAATCCACACCCCATAATAGTGTAACCGTGTATAGCCAGTCACTAATAAATGTTATTTCCATAAGCCAATGAGAATTTGTGACAAACCTCTTTGCATCATCACACTTCTGGGCCCTTTTTTGCCTTTAAGAAACTGCTTGTTGCAAAGCTCCAAAGGGAGTTCATATCCAGGGATACTTGGGTCTGTTTCTTCCAGGCAGCTGTCCTCATTGTGGCTCAAGTAAACTCTTTGAATTACGTTTTGTGTTTCAGCTCCTTCCACTTAGATTAACAACATGGATTTGTGTCACCATGTACAGCAATTAAAATGTTTACACTTTTCCCCTCGAGGGCACTGATGTGTTTTCCTGAACACTTGGCATAGCTACGTAGTGTTTCCTGTCTAGATTATGGTTTCTCAACCTTGGTGCTACTTACCTTTAGGACCAGAGGATTCTTTGTTGTGGGAGGCTGCCCTAGCAAGGCTAGGTGTTTCGTTTGACCTCTAAATTTCACGCCTCCACCAGTCTTGACATCCCCACAATAACCCTAGACATTGACAAATGTCTCCTGGGGAAAACTCTCCACCAGTTGACAGGCAAATTTCTGGAAATATTGGAATTGTCAATTGAGATTTTATGTTATCCCAAACAAACATTTTTCTTTGTTTTTAAACATCTACTTCCATCTACTTATCTACTTATTTTTACTTTTATTTGTAACTTAATTCCATCAAGGAGAGAGAGTGCATTTTCTGTTATGCTAAATTTTTGAAGAATGTATTGATTTTTTATGACCTGATATATGGATGATATGTAGATATTACATGTTTGTATTATCAAATTTCAGGGCGTTAATAAAATAAATACTTATAATATTTATACTGTCAATGTATATTAGTTATTTTCTTTCTTCACTACAGGAGTTTTTCAACCTATAGTCTATTTTTCAATTCTAGGTTATCCAGTAGATTTTGAAATGTTATGATTAAATATCTACTTCTCCAGCATTCATCTTTCCAAATGAAACAATCCCAAGCTCTTATAATGCACATCATATAAAGGGCAGATTAGTCAATATATGGTTCAGAAATAATTATGTAATATTTATAAGAAAATTAAAAATTTATATCCTTAACTCAGATAACAATAATCCAAATTAAAATTCGATTTCATTACATAATTTAAAATGACACCAGAATACTAGTAAAAATGTAGCTAAGTTTATATAATCTTTTTTAGCTGTAGGACTTTGTTAGCATAAATTGAAATACAGGATCCAAAGCAAGATTGAGACCTATAGTGAAAGGTTAAAATGTACACATCATAGGGGCATGATTAAACTAATTTAAAGCATAACAACATGGAGAAATATTGCAAAACATACATTTTACTGAATTAATTGTTAGTATCTAATCATTATGTGAGAACAAATTTAAAGAGTAGCTACACAGGCACACACCCACACACAACTGCAATATTGTCAAATAAACGATGTTCAGCTACACTAGAAATCATACCTGTGTTTTTTTCCACAGAAGAGCAAAGATTAAAAATCACAATATTATTTATTGTATATATGGAGGTAAAGATACTCAAAATATTACCCAAAAATGCATTTTTTTTTTAGATGGAGTTTTGCTTTTATTGCGCAGGCTAGAGTGCAATGGCACAATCTTGGCTCACTGCAACCTCAGCCTCCCAGGATCAAGTAATTCTCCTAGCTCAGCCTCTCAAGTAGCTGAGATTACAGGCATGCACCACCACACTCGGCTAATTTTTTGCATTTAGTAGAGACGGGGTTTCACCATGTAGGTCAGGCTGGTCTCCAACTCCTGACTTCAGGTGATCTACCCACTTCAGCCTCCCAAAGTGTTGGGATTACAGGCGTGCGCCTGGCCAGCTTTTTGACATATTTCAAGATGGCTACTCGGAAGACTGGAGATAGCTTCTTCTACAAAAATAGCTGAAAAGCTGTGTTTGTTGGGGAGATTTGTATTTGTAGAGAAAATCTGCATTGATATAGACAGGCTTTCCCTGAGATACTCCCTTGTCTGGGTTTAGGAATGATTAATTGAGCCTGGCACGTTTACATTTCTAAAAACCATTTCCTATCTATACTTCCCAAGAGGAGGGCTGCTCCCTGTGAGGTTTCACCCATGTAACAAGACCACTTCTGCTGCCAGGCTCCTCTTTCTTCCTTGTTGTCACCTGTCTTCCGCAAAGCCTGATTTACCAACCTAGAGCTCTGTGTTTTCTGTAACCTCAAGACAGCATAGGCTTGTTGACTACCTTGCCTTTCCTGGAGTTTTTATATATATAGTATATATTTGTATGTCTGTTTATAATATACAAATATTTGTATAGATATATTATATATATTATGTAAACTCCAAGTGCATACTTGTGCACGTAGCTGTAAACCTTTTTTCCTGTTAATTTGTACATTATCAGTTTATTTTATAAACTCAAATAATTAAAGCTTCAAGGGAAAAATTTAAACTTTCCTATAGAGAAAAGACAAATATATAGGTGACAAATAATATTTAGAGTGTAAGACGCTTTTTAAAGGTATATTTTCAATTTGTGTCAAAACATTTAAGTATACATTTGTTACTTTAACTATAAAATTTCAAATAATTTAAGCAAAATACATAGTATATGCAGAAAATTAGCAACATATCTATGTAGCACCTTACTGTGCATTACTGTAACCAGCCGTCTAACATAAAAAACTAATTAAGGTAGCACCTACTTTTCAAACATCGCATTTTTTTCACAGACCTATTAAATAAGACAAATAACATTTAAACTTCATTTTTAAATTTGCAGAATAGTAGTTTTCAGCAGATGGTTTATTTTAGCAAATTCCATCTTCACATTGTGCCATGCTTTTATGAGTTCCAGCTGTTAACGGATACTATTTTACTGCTGAAACTATCATGTGTGATATAATTGCTCATTATGTGCCTTAAAACACAAGCAATATAATTATTTTCAACTTGGAGCAAATTAAAATCTTATCAGCAATTTAAAATCTCTAGAGTCGTCTTCTTCTGGCTAATTATTTTATACTTTTATTTTTCTCTTTATGTTTTTAGTGAGTTCTCTTATCAAGGAGAAGAACTCAAGCTGATTATTCTTTTTTTTCTCTTCCATGCACCTCGCAGGTGTGTTAATAATTTCATTTCTCAGAAAATGTTCTTTCATATCCATCTTACAAGCTGAGAGGCCTTTCAACATCTTCCATTCGGATGTCATACGAGTAATGGAACATATTCCAGCTTCATGAATATGGTGATACAAATAGTTATCCGTCTAACCTCTTTCAGTGCCAAATGTTTACTTTACTCAGTGAGTTACTCAGTTGACTGGTAATTTCTTCTGAAATCACTAATGAGAGGATCAGAGGTCTGGCTGTGGTCTGTACCTCATATGACTCCCAGTGCAGACAATTGTTTCTATGGAGGACAGACAGTTGAAAGGATTGACTTCCTGCCTAGAATAGTTTCTGCTGTGCTTCTTATCCTTCTTGTGGAGATTTCAGATTATCTGAATTGCTTTTCTATCTTAAGAAAAAACGCAACAATTCTCTCACCTGAGAGGAATGTAAACTGTAGTAATTTAGCAGAACCAATCCGTAAAGTTTTTACATTGTTTGTTGCAAAATGCAGCGCTGGTGTCTCCATCACTAACCTTTTCTATCCCTCATTGCTCTTTCTTTGACTGCAATAGGATAACTCTAGGCAAATCTGTATTCCCGAGACAGAGTGCCCTTTTGGTGAGCTATAAGTACACTCAATGGTAGGCTGAAATACTAGCTTTTATCTATTGCGAAATAGAAACATATCAGTGATTTTTTTTAAAAAGGAAATTTCCTATCACATCGCACTCCAGCAATGCCAAGCTGTGCCGGCCTTCCACTCCATCTCCATTATTTCGCCCTCCGCCGCCGCCGCCCCGGCTTTTCGCCCCCCCGCCGCCGAGGCTTATTCCCCCCACCCCGCCTAGGCTTTTTGCCCGCCGCTGCTTTGTGCCCCCCCGGCGCCAGGGCTTTTAGCCCGCCGCGGCTTTTTGACCCCTCGCCGCTGCGAATTTTGCCGCCGCGGCTTTTTGTCTCCCGCTGCTGCGGCATTTTGCACCCCGCCGCTTTTTGCCCCCCCGCCGCCACAGCTTTTTCCTCGCCGTGGCTTTTTCCCCCCTGCCCCCACGGCTTTTTACCCGCCTCGGCTTTTTGCCCGCCGCGGCGGCTTTTTGCCCCCAACCGCCGTGGCTTTTTCCCCACCGCGGCTTTTTACCCCCCGCCGGCGTGGCTTTTTGCCCCACCGCCGCCGCGGCTTCTAGCCCCCACCCCGCCTCGGGTTTTTGCCCGCCGCGGCTTTTTGCCCCCCCGGCGCCAGGGCTTTTAGTCCGCCCCGGCTTTTTGACCCCTCGCCGTTGCGAATTTTGTCGCCGCGGCTTTTTGCCCGCCCCCCGCCGCTGCGGCTTTTTGCCCCCCGCCGCCTTTTGCACCCCGCCGCTTTTGGCACCCCGCCGCTTTTTGCACCCCACGGCTTTTTGCCCCCTCGCCGCCGCGGCTTTTTCCCGCCGTGGATTTTCCCCCCCTGCCCCCACGACTTTTCACCCGCCGCGGCTTTTTGCCCCCACGCCGCCTCGGCTTTTTGCCCGCTGCGGCTTTTTGCCCCCACCGCCGCGGCTTTTTGCCCCCCGCCGCCGCGGCTTTTTAGTCCCCGCCGCCGCGGTTTTTTGCCCGCCGCGGCTTTGTGCCCTCCTCGCCGCCGCGGCTTTCTGCCACCCACCCGCCGCCGCGGCTTTTTGCCCCCACCCTGCCTCGGCTTTTTGCCCGCCGCGGCTTTTTGCCCGCACCCCGCCTCGGCTTTTTGCCCGCTGAGGCTTTTTGCCCCCCGCCGCCGCGGCTTTTTGTCTCCCGCCGCCGCGACTTTTTGCTCCCACCCCGCCTCGGCTTCTTGCCCGCCGCGGCTTTTTACCCCCCGCCGCCGCGGCTTTTTGCCCGCTGCGGATTTGTGCCCCCCTCGCCGCCGCGGCTTTTTGCCCGCCGCGGCTTTCTGCCACACACCCGCCGCCGCGGCTTTTTGCCCCTCTGCCGCCGCGGCCTTTTGCACCCCGCCGCTTTTGGCACCCCGCCGCTTTTTGCATCCCGTGGCTTTTTGCCCCCTCGCCGCCGCGGCTTTTTCCCGCCGTGGCTTTTTCCCTCCTGCCCCCGCGACTTTTCACCCGCCGCGGCTTTTTGCCCCCACCCCGCCTCGGCTTTTTGCCCGCCGCGGCTTTTTGCCCCCCGCCGCCACGGCTTTTTAGCCCCCGCCGCCGCGGCTTTTTGTCCCCTGCCGCCGCGACTTTTTGCCCCCACCCCGCCTCGGCTTGTTGCCCGCCACGGCTTTTTACCCCCCGCCGCCTCAGCTTGTTGCCCGCCACGGCTTTTTACCCCATGCCGCCGCGGCTTTTTGCCCGCCGCGGCTTTGTGCCCCCCTCGCCGCCGCGGCTTTCTGCCACCCACCCGCCGCCGCGGCTTTTTGCCCCTCCGCCGCCGCGGCTTTTTGCCCCCACCCTGCCTCGGCTTTTTGCCCGCCGCGGCTTTTTGCCCCCCGCAGCTTTTTGCACCCCGCCGCTTTTTGCCCCCCCGCCGCCGCGGCTTTTTCCCCAGCCGTGGCTTTTCCCCCTGCCCCCGCGGCCTTTTTCCCGCCGCAGCTTTTTGCCCTCACCCCGCCTCGGCTTTTTGCCCACACCCCGCCTCGGCTTTTTGCCCGCTGAGGCTTTTTGCCCCCCGCCGCCGCGGCTTTTTAGCCCCCGCCGCCGCGGCTTTTTGTCCCCCGCCGCCGCGACTTTTTGCCCCCACCCCGCCTCGGCTTCTTGCCCGCCGCGGCTTTTTACCCCACGCCGCCGCGGCTTTTTGCCCGCCGCGGATTTGTGCCCCCCTCGCCGCCGCGGCTTTTTGCCCGCCGCGGCTTTCTGCCACACACCCGCCGCCGCGGCTTTTTGCCCACTCTGCCGCCGCGGCTTTTTGCCCGCCGCACATTTCTGCCCCCAAGAAGGCATGCGGCTTGTTACCCCCACATTGCCTCGGCTTTCATGCGCGCCGCGGCTTTCTGCCCCTCACACGGAATGCGGCTTTTCCCCCCCCCGCAGCCGTGGCTTTTTGCCCACCAACGAACCGGATTTTTGGCACCCGCGGCTTTGTGCCCCCCCAGCGCCAGGGCTTTTACACCGCCCCGGCTTTTTGGCACCCCGCCGCTTTTTGCACCCCGTGGCTTTTTGCCCCCTCGCCGCCGCGGCTTTTTCCCGCCGTGGCTTTTTCCCCCCTGCCCCCGCGACTTTTCACCCGCCGCGGCTTTTTGCCCCCACCCTGCGTCGGCTTTTTGCCCGCCGCGGCTTTTTGCCCCCACCGCCGCGGCTTTTTGCCCCCCGCCGCCGCGGCTTTTTAGCCCCCGCCGCCGCGGCTTTTTGTCCCCTGCCGCCGCGACTTTTTGCCTCCACCCCGCCTCGGCTTGTTGCCCGCCGCGGCTTTTTGCCCCCACCCCGCCTCGGCTTCTTGCCCGCCGCGGCTTTTTACCCCCCGCCGCCGCGGCTTTTTGCCCGCCGCGGATTTGTGCCCCCCTCGCCGCCGCGGCTTTTTGCCCGCCGCGGCTTTCTGCCACACACCCGCCGCCGCGGCTTTTTGCCCCTCTGCCGCCGCGGCTTTTTGCCCGCCGCGGCTTTCTGCCCCCACCCACCGCTGCGGCTTTTTACCCCCACCTTGCCTCGGCTTTCTGCCCGCCGCGGCTTTCTGCCCCCACCCGCCGCTGCGGCTTTTTGCGCCCCCGCCGCCGTGGCTTTTTGCCCCACCGCCGCCGCGGCTTTTTGTCCGCCGCGGCTTTGTGCCCCCCCGGCGCCAGGGCTTTTAGTCCGCCCCGGCTTTTTGACCCCTCGCCGTTGCGAATTTTGTCGCCGCGGCTTTTTGCCTGCCCCCCGCCGCTGCGGCTTTTTGCCCCCCGCCGCCTTTTGCACCCCGCCGCTTTTGGCACCCCGCCGCTTTTTGCACCCCGTGGCTTTTTGCCCCCTCGCCGCCGCGGCTTTTTCCCGCCGTGGCTTTTTCCCCCCTGCCCCCGCGACTTTTCACCCGCCGCGGCTTTTTGCCCCCACCCTGCGTCGGCTTTTTGCCCGCCGCGGCTTTTTGCCCCCACCGCCGCGGCTTTTTGCCCCCCGCCGCCGCGGCTTTTTAGCCCCCGCCGCCGCGGCTTTTTGTCCCCTGCCGCCGCGACTTTTTGCCTCCACCCCGCCTCGGCTTGTTGCCCGCCGCGGCTTTTTGCCCCCACCCCGCCTCGGCTTCTTGCCCGCCGCGGCTTTTTACCCCCCGCCGCCGCGGCTTTTTGCCCGCCGCGGATTTGTGCCCCCCTCGCCGCCGCGGCTTTTTGCCCGCCGCGGCTTTCTGCCACACACCCGCCGCCGCGGCTTTTTGCTCCTCTGCCGCCGCGGCTTTTTGCCCCCACCTTGCCTCGGCTTTCTGCTCGCCGCGGCTTTCTGCCCCCACCCGCCGCTGCGCCTTTTTGCGCCCCCACCGCCGTGGCTTTTTGCCCCACCGCCGCCGCGGCTTTTTGCCCCCACCCCGCCTCGGCTTCTTGCCCGCCGCGGCTTTTTACCCCCCGCCGCCGCGGCTTTTTGCCCGCCGCGGATTTGTGCCCCCCTCGCCGCCGCGGCTTTTTGCCCGCCGCGGCTTTCTGCCACACACCCCCCGCCGCGGCTTTTTCCCCCTCTGCCGCCGCGGCTTTTTGCCCCACCGCCGACACAGCTTTTTGCACACTCGCCGCCTTGGCTTTTTGCCGCCGCGGCTTTCTGCCCCCTCGCTGCCGCGGCTTTTTGCCCCTCCGCCACCGCCGCTCCTTTTTGCCCCACCGCCGCCGTGGCTTTTTGCCCACCGCGGCTTTTTGCCATCGCGGCTTTTTACTCGCCACGGCCTTTTACCCGCCGCGGCTTTTTGCGCCCCGCTGTCACGGCTTTTTGCCCCCCTGTCGCAGCGACTTTTTCGCCGCCGCGGCATTTTGCCCCCGCCGCCGTGGCTTTTTGCCGCTGTCGCCGCCGCTTTTTGCCCCCGCCGCAGTGGCTTTTTGTCCCCGCCACCGCGGCTTTTTGCTGCCGCGACTTTTTGCCCCGGTCACCGCCGCTTTTTGTCACCGCGACTTTTTGCCCCCGCCGCCGAGGATTTTTGTCCCCGCCGCCACGGCTCTGAGGGCGGGAGCGGCAGACTCGGCTGCCAGCTCTACTGGCGTCCTGGCAAGGGCAGCGCTGAGGGGTGCTCCTGGTCCAGCTCTCCTGGCTCAGGGATTCCTTGCCTAGGTGCCGGCGCCCCAGGCTCCTTGCCTAGGCCCCTGTGGCCTGCATAGAGTGGCGCTGCCTGTGGAGGCGATGGGAGAGAAGAAGGAGGGCGGTGGTGGGGGTGATGCGGCGGCCACGGAGGGTGGCACAGGGGCTGCGGCCAGCCGGGCGCTGCAGCAGTGCGGGCAGCTCCAGAAGCTCATCGTCATCTTCATTGGCAGCCTGTGCGGGCTGTGCACCAAGTGCGCTGTGTCCAACGACCTCACCCAGCAGGAGATACAGACCCCGGAGGTAAGGGGTTCGGGGACCCGGGCTGGGCTCCAGGAGCGGCCCGGACACCTCCTTCGGGGCCCCAGTTCACTCCTGGCCGAGTTGCATCTTTGAGCCCACGTCACCCCCTTGGAGGCTTCCCCTCCCTCCTGCACTCGCTGATGCGGCAGCCAGAGGACCCAGGACCAGCCCTCACCTTGGGCAGGATTTGTGGAGCGGGTGCGTGGTGGGAACTGGGATGGAGGCTCCAGGGTCCCGTGGGGGTGGGGGTGGGCTGCGTGAGGACATCCCCTTACCCCCTGAATTTCCATCTGGTCCAGCCCTCTCATCTTGTAGGTGAGGAAACCGAAGGCCTGAGGGAGAAATGACTTGCCAGGAACCCCTGTTAAGGAAAATTAACAAAGTGTGGTTATTAAAGAAGAACTGAGTTGGGAGTCAGACCTGGAGGCCCGCACCCGTGGTTAAGACATTATACCACCTTGAGTCTGGCCTGTTGACTGAGGGTGAGCCACTCCATCCTCATGTGATTGTGGGGTCTTAACCTCAAGGGGTTTCCTGCAGGAAGAAGCAAATGGGTTTGCTTTCCTAGCTCTGTCCAGTACTTTAGGGACCCTGAGGACTGAAGAGATTCTTGGAGAGCCATCTGGTGTATGTCATGGGTGGGTCTTTTTGGAAGGTCAGTCTGCCCAGTGGGCTGGCTCAGCCCAAATGAACTGTCTTGAATCTTTGGAGTTGTCTGTGTACTTTTAAGGGCTTCTCAGCCTTGCACCAAAAGATCCCCCTGGAAATTAGGTGGGAAAAACCTTAACTTTTGTGGGGCCTTGTGTTTGTCTTAAAAGTTCATGCACATAGCCAGGTGTGGTGGCTCCCACCTGTTATCCTTTCCTGGATCCCTTGAGTCAAGGAGTTTGAGACCAACCTGGACAATATAGTGAAACCCCATCTCTACAAAAAATAAAATATTAGCCAGGGGTGGTTGTGCGCATCTGTAGTCCCAGCTACTACTGTGGCTGAGGCGGGAGGAGCACTTGATCCTGCACTGAGCTCTGATCTCACCAGTGTATTCCAGCCTGGGCCACAGAGCAAGACCGTGACTCAAAAAAAAAAAAAAAAAAAAAAAGACAAGAAAAATTCTTCAAGATTTTGCATTCTGTCCCACTACCCATTGGTTTTCATGTCAAGATAATGTCAGAAATTCTTTACAATTGCTTCCAGAAGGAGTAGCCTTTTGATCTAGTGCACAGGTGTCCAGTCTTTTGGCTTCTCAGGGCCACATTGGAAGAAGAATGCTCCTGGGCCGCACATAAAATACACTAATGCTAACAACAGCTGATGGGGTTAAAAAAAAAAAAAAAGGTTTGTGCATAATTTTCATGCTACCCACCACCACAGATAGGTGAAAAAGTCCTTGTAGTCAAAGTGTTGGACACGGCTGATCTAGTGTCTTGTCATCCGTTTTGGCTTTCTCCCTGATTCCAGAATGCAGGTAGAGATGTAGAGACATGCTCTCAGGACAGCTGTTGAGATAAAAAAAAATTCGTTGTCATTTATTCCCAAGCACAGCTGTTTCTCATTGCATTGAAAAAGTCTCCATTCAAACTGCTGTCACATATAAAATCTATTTATGTAAGTCTGTATTTTTCTGTTGTCTTGGCCTTTGTAAGCAGTAGTGTGTTTTAACCGAGCAAACTGTCCTTCCAAATAATGAAGCCGAAGTCAGCCTACCTACTTGCCATTTTTCTTCCCCTTCCATTTTTGTAACCTCAGAATAATTGTAAGAATGAATTAAGATTTGTGTTTAAGGCCAGGCACAGTGTCTCAGGCCTGCAATCTCAGCACTTTGGGAGGCGGAGATGGTTGTATCGCTTGAGCTCAGGAGTTGAAGACCAGCCTGGGCAACATACTGAGACTCCGTCTTGTATAATTTAATTAAAATTGAAAAAAAGAAGAGAAAAAGACCTGTGTTTAAAATTTAAAAAAAGGGGGGGAAAGTGTAATGCAAAATGTGGACTATGCCAGCTATGATTGGGAAAACTAGTTTTTCATACAGCATTATCTGTAGACTTCTATTAGCAGCATACTGGTCATAAGCGTTTTGCTTTCCTCAAATATGATGAGGTAAGCTAATTTAAAGTGTGTTGGGGCTTTTTGCCGCGTGGCTCCTGGAGGTGTTGAGTCCCAATTTAGCCAATTAATTTAGGTTTAGTTTTGACGTGGATAAGGGAGACCAGCTTCATTCGTGGTGTACACACAGTTTTGCGAATAAGGAAACAAAAAAAAGCCACCTGAACTGTTCCTACTCATTAGATGCTCTCTGGAGAGCTCCTACCCCACCCTCACCAAGGCCTGGGCCATTAAAAAGACTCAATGCAGCCTTTCTGTATCTCATACTGTATTCTGCAAGATACTCCTCTGAAAGAAAGTTGTGCTGCATCAGGCATCTCCCTCCTGAACATCCCTGCGGATGAAGATTTGTGTTTTGAAAGTTCTGAGAATTC